>NC_000003.12:172947998-173099513 GCF_000001405.40 Homo sapiens
AAAAGTACAAATATAAGAGTTATTGGCTTTAAAGAGGAAGTAGGGAGAGAGAGAGAGATTGGGGTAGAAGTCCTTCAAAATGATAACAGAACTTTCCAAACCTAGAGAAAAATATCACTATTCAAGTACAAGGTTATAGAACACCAAGCAGATTTAACCCCAAGAAGACTACCTCAAGGCATTTAATAATCAAATTCCCAAAGGCCATGGATAAATAAACGATTCTAAAAGCAGCAAGAGAAAAGAAACAACATGCAAAAGACCTCCGATACGTCTGGCAGCCGACTTCTCTGTGGAAACCTTATAGGCCAGGCCGGAGTAGCATGACATATTTAAAGTGCTGAAGGAAAAAGTATTTTACCCTAGAATAGTGTATCTGGTAAAAATATCTTTCAAGCACGAAGGAGAAATTAAGACTTTCTCAGACAAACAAAAGCTGAGGGATTACTTTTTCTCTTTTTTTCTTTTAATTTTCTTATTATTTTTTGAGACAGGGTCTTGCTCTGTCACCCAGGCTGGAGTTCAGTGCTGTGATCATGGCTCACTGCAGCCTTGACCTCCTAGGCTCAAGTGACCCTCCCACTCAGCCACCCGAGTAGCTGGGACTACAGATGTGTACCATCATGTCCAGCTAATTTTTAATTTTTTTGTAGTGATGGGGGTCTCGCTATGTTGTCTAGGCTGGTCTTGAACTCCTGGGTTCAAGTGATTCTCCCACCTCGGCTTCCAAAGTGTTGGGATTGCAAGGGTGAGCCACCACGCCTAGCCAAACTGAGGGATTTCATCAATACCAGACCTGTCTATTCATAGGACAGAATATTATACAGCAATGAAAATGAATAAACTAATGCTTTTTGCAACGTGGAAGAAGTTCATAAACAAATTATTGAGCAAAAGAAGTCAGATACAAAAGAGCATCTACTCTATGATTTCAGGTTTATAACATTTCAAAGCAGGCAAATTGAAGTCTAGAGTTTAGGAATAGATAGGTGGTAATGCTGTAAAGTAAGAAGATAATTACTCTGAACTTTAGGACATTAGTTACCTTGGTAGGGGGTAGGGAGTTGTTTGGGATTAATAAAGGGCCAGTAAAGGGTATCTGGAGAGCTGGTCATGTTTTCTTTTTTGACTTGATGTTTACTCCATAATAAATTAGTTAAGCTGTATTTTAAAATGGATTTTTTTATGTGTGTGATACCATAGAATGTTTTTAAAAATAAAACTACTAAAAGCAATAAATAAATAAATAAATGGGCTGGATGGGGCTCTACTTTAGTTGTAAAATGCAGTGATTATTTGTAGACCATAAGATCATCAAGAAAATGCTAATGCTCGTAAGGTGTAGGTTAATTGCGAGCCAAGTATTAGAGGAGAAATAAATAGGATTTGAATGCTGAATATACAAAGAAAAAACGTAACTCTACAAAGTAAAAAAATTTGTAATTCTGTGCAACATTGACTTCAAAATTTTTTTAAATTCTCAATTTAAAATTGTTATATACTACTGAGAGTTCAGTCTTCAGGGATTTTAATGCTTGGCTGCATGATTTATTAGATGGCAGCACCTAATGATTAACTATATTGTTGACAGAGAGGCTACATTATAAAACATAAGTAAAGTGATTCAGGAAAAATAAAGTGTTAACGGTTGAGCACTTACCTCACTCATATTGAGAACTCCGTCGCCTGCTAAAATGAGTTCTGCTTGTTTGGAAATGGCCTTGGGGCTTTCTTATGTAGACCGAGATAATGGGGATGGGTAAGAACCTGAGAAACTGGTAAGACCATCAAGAATGACAGTGGAAGAGACTCATCAATTCATGAGGGAATAAATTTAGAGGACGTATCTGGAGAATTTTGAGTAGGAAAGGAGATTGAGGGAAGCTGCCATGTGAATGTTTGTGTTTATGTACATGTGCATTTTACAAGGTTTTGCTGAGCATTATGGATACAATATCTACAATACCTGTTTAATTTCTACCACATACCCCATTACAACTGCCTACCCTACCTCAACTCATGGGTTTTCTTGAGAGGCTGCAGGAAAAATTTATATTACTTCCACTTATTTTTGGATTATTGACTGCTGTTTCTTTAAATGCAACTTGTCTGCCTTCTTCAGTCAGATCCCGTAAGACAATATGCTAAGCAGAAGACATTGTAGTTTCAGGGGTTTCAGGTGCAGTGGATGATGGAGACCAGAGGCAAACAGCGCTGTCACCTGCTACTGCAAAGGACAAGTGAACTGCTGGTTGAGAAGTGGTTAAATGGAGGTGAACTCCATTAGATGGAGCAATGCCAGAGCACCATACTTCCCATTGGGAAGATCAACGTTTTAATATTTTAAGAAAAGAGAATTTAGCCCCATAGATGAGGGATTTCTTTACCTTGGGAACAATTTTCTGATTCTAAGAAGAATTCTGCGGTGCAAATATTAGATGATTTATCGTCTTATAACCAAACTGGCTTTAACACTTTCATAAATATTGGGGCTGAAGACTGTTTAATTCTATAACTTTTTCTATTCAAGAAAACTAGTTACAAAGAGGAAAATAGTCTGATTTTGAAAACTCTTGATCATGATAAAATTACAATAATTTAAAGAAGAAAGAATAAAATGAGAAATGTTAACTTCATGTTTTAGACAACATAAGAATGTATTATTCTTACTGGTAAATGATGACTGAACAAGAACAAGGTTATAAATTTCAATGAAAAGTAATTTTTAAAGGTCTAATTTAAAACAATATATTATTTATGCGAACATACATATTTACTCTTGGGATTTAAATTGCATTGGAAAGACAAAATATGACTCTATCCACCTAAGTGTTAAAGTAATTGATATCTGATCCAGAAAACTTTTCTATTAAACATTACTAACCACAGATCCATTACTGAATATTTATTTATTTAGCAAATAAATCTTGATATTTTCATCAAGAGGAGACAGGATATGCGGATTGTATTACTTTATTATTATTAAAATACAACCATGCAAGAATAAGAACTATGCAGAATTGCATTATTTCATTGGAATATATGAATAAAAATCTCAAGCCAAATCTTTATAAATGAAAACATAAAAATTCTGGGGCTGGTAAATTATTATTTGTTTTATATACCCTGACTACTCTGTATGAATCAAGCTAGGTTTTTTTCTTAAATAATAAAAATGGATAGCTATACTGTGAAAAAAAATCAGTAATTTTTTTCTCCATGAAATATAATACAATACAGCTCTATTATAATACGACTTTAAGATTTTGATGGGTTTTATTATATTCCTGAAACAGAAAAGGATGCACAGTAAGTTCCTGAGCATGTATAAACCTGGTTGATCTACAAGGCAGATTTGAATTTTAACTCTCCCTCATCAGTCTCATAGAAATTATAAGGGTAATATAATCTTATACCTGCCACTGGAAGTGAATAGGTCTTCTCATGATAATCCACTGTAAAGTTCATAGATAATGCGATTGGCTTATTTGATAATTTAAAAAAAAAAAAATTTAAACCTAAATACATTTCAGAATGAATTAATTTTATACTTTTCCCCCTTGTGTCTGTTTTTCCCATGGATATCCCTGACAAGGGTGACTGTGAATTGGGGGCTGGCTGGAGAGAAAATACTGCCTGGAGGACCTCCATTGTGAATACTCTCCCTGCTCATCACCAGCACCTCTGCCAGCTTGTGCTGGGCTCATGGCACTGTCACGTGACCAGGGAGCAATAAACTCGACACTATCTATGCTTGATGAAGGTGACCTAAAGTTGGGCAGAGTTTCTGAGTTGGAGGTTTGCTTGCCAGCCTCCACTGGGTGAATTAAATATGCTAGTCTCCAAGTTTTAATGATAATAATTACTTCTCCAGCAAAACTTTGATAGGTAGACTCTTCATCCAAAATCTTCAAGGTACAGATTGTACGACCTTCATCTGTTGATTATTTATTTAGATGACTTCTATAATTTAGAAATTCTTACATATAGCTTCCATTTGTCTTGCTGCAGTGAAAGCTTCATAATTGTATTTTATCTCTTGGAGCATCAGTGTCTCTCTGGAAATATTATCTTTCTGTGGGCGGGTACAAACACATGTTTATGAGAACATCATCTGTAGCTGTCTGTGGAGGGGGGAGTGTGAGGTAGAGGAATAGATATATGTACAAATGCTGAGTGTTTTTGAGGATGGAGTAGGCTGCATGTGGATGAGTGTTTATTTGATCGAGTTAGCAAGAACTTGTTGTATACACTGTAGATGCAGTAGGAAGCTGCCTACTTGTTATGATGTAGGACAGAAAAATATGTTAAAGTTACCAGATTTAACAAAGAAGCTCCAAATCTCAGTGGTCTAAAGAGAGATAACTGTTTTTTGTTCATGTGGGTATTCAGAGTATTCGGAGGGTGACCATCTACATGGACATTCAGGAATCTACCTTCTTTTGTTTTGCAGCCTCTTTCCATGCTTCTCCCCACTCAGCCAGTGGATGGGGAAAGAGAATTTTACATAGGAGGGCTTTATGGGCCAGGCCTGGAAGTGACATATATCACATCTGTCCGTTTTTCCTTGACCATTACTCAGTCAGAAATCTTCATCTAATTGGAAGGGAGGCTGGAAATGGATTCTAGATGTATGACTGAGGTAAAAAGAAAAGAGTTTGGGCCGGGTGCAGTGGCTCACGCCTGTAATCCCAGCACTTTGGGAGGCCAAGGTGGGTGGATCATGAGGTCAAGAGATTGAGACCATCCTGGCCAACATGGTGAAACCCCGTCTCTACTAAAAATGCAAAAATTAACTAGGCATGGTGGCGTGCCCCTATAGTCCCAGCTACTTGGGAGGCTGAGGCAGGAGAATCGCTTGAACCCGGGAGGTGGAGGTTGCAGTGAGCTGAGATCTCACCACTGCACTACAGCCTGGCAATAGAGTGAGACTCCATCTCAAAAAAAAAAAAAAAAAAAAAAGAAAACAGTTTGGTAAACAACTAGCCAGTTTTTGCCATATTAAGTGACAACAACCTCTATTCCCAAACTGCTCTGTTTATCCTACATAATTCTTTTAATTAGAGTCAGCCTTCCATTCCACAATTAGAGCTTTGGTTTTTGTTGAAAATATTCTCTAGGAAAAGGGAAAAATATGGTCCAATATTCATGCTGAAGTATAGCTTACTAAAGTCGGATCCTTTCTTAGGAGCAGTTGTATTCTCAGTACCACCTAGAGTACTGTGTAAATAAATGTTCGCTGAATAAATGAATAGATGAACAACCCCCCTCCCACCTCAATCTCCATTGTAGATCCTCTTCTTGTCCTAAGGGTCCTGGCTTGCTGGAGAATGCAGCAAGGGAAAAATGGCAGAGTAACATAGCCAGTTGAAGAGAGGGCTACGACAACTTCTAGTCTTCTGTGGAATGGAGGGGATTTATTGAGTAAGACTCAGAAAGTGGCTGGGTTCACAAGCTAGCAGTCCAGCAGGAAGAGGAAATCTCAGAGAGTGGCTCTAGTTTGGGCCAACTGGTACGGTAAGGGTGGTTGGAGTACATACGAAGAAGCAACTACACCAATAAACAGAATGGAGAACCCATGTAGATGCCTTGGGTCACTTAATGGGCCACATAAATGAATCCATCAGGTCCTGCTCAAGACGCCAGAGCTGATCTCAGGTAGCACCAGCCGTCTGATAAGCAGCTGTACCAGCCTGCTACAGATTGAGAAGAGGATGTCTCCCTTATGTGTTCACTGACCCTTTTGGACACAGGGTATGCTTGAGCTCTATGAAAGCTAAACCAAACCACAGGGAGAAGAAAAACTCTTGAAAAGGAGAAGGAAGCTGGTGAATGTGGTTAGATAGGTTCTAAAGATAGATTAATTTTAGAAATGACTGGATTATACTGAGTGCCCTGGGATGAGACAGAATATATTTTGGCTCTGGGCAGAGCAAAGAAGAAAATAGATAGGTAAAACATATAGACTCTTATGTTTGCACACATCTGCTGTGTGACAGTCTATTCATACTGGTTGCATGAATATATGTTACAATAAATAGCTGAATAAATTTTCATCAGGATAGAAGCTTCTTAAATTCTATCTACAAGGCTGATAATAGGAAGATGCATTAGTTTGTTCTCACGGTGCTAATAAAGACATACAGAAGACTGGATAATTTATAAAGGAAAGAGGTTTAATTGACTCACAGTTCCACATGGCTGGGGAGGCCTCACAATCATGGTGGAAGGCAAAGGAGGAAGAAAATCACGCCTTACATGGCAGCAGGCAGGAGAACTTGTGCAGGGGAACTCCCACTTATAAAACCATCAGATCATGTGAGACTTATTTACTACCATGAGAACAGTATGGGGGAAACCACCCCCATGATTCAATTATCTCCACCTGGCCATGCCCTTGACACTTGGGGGTTATTACAATTCAAGATGAGATTTGGGTGGAGACACAGCCAAAAGACATCAGAGGATTCTGGTTTTTGGAAACTACCACGAAAACAAAGTGTTTACTCTTCTAGGCCCTATCTGTCTTTATGTTACTTACTTCTTAGCTATTACCTTCGGCTACTGATGCAGCTCTAATCACCTCTCTGCATCTTCTGGGAGAGGTGTCCAGAGCTAAAAATAACACCTGACCTTTCCTCTTCCCATGCTGTATGCCCTCAGCCACCTTGGAATTGCCTGGGGGAAAAAGAGTTATACCTCCAAGGCTGTGCACATACAGTTAGTAACAGTTCTTTCACCATTATTCCAGCAATGGCTTTGGGGAAACCCTTTAATAATTTGCAACAGAGGTAAATAATGTCACCAATGCAGTAGCATTGTTAACCCAAAGCACAGTTTCCACAGAGCAAAGAACTTTATCAGTCCCAACGAAATTTAAATTCTAGACTCCTTTCTCTACCTCACGTTCCTCCTCCAGAAGCTGTCTTTTCTATCAAGATTCTCTATAGCACTAGCATACTCTAGCAGTTTGTAATTATAAGATAATAGAAACAATCATTAGTAACTTATAATTATCTTCTCTCCCAAAGTGTAAGATTCTTTAGCATGAATCGTCTTGCCAACAGATCATAATTCATCTTGATAACAGGTTTGATAGAATTACATGAGACATGAGTCTGGCTCATTAATGTTATTATTGTTTTTAAACTCTTGGCAGTGGTGCTTCCGAACTATTAATTAATCTTCATGACTGCTCTGTGAAATGGGTTAAATATAACTAAACTTATTCTACCAGAAGAGAGATTGGCAAACTGGTGATCTCCTCAATGAATCTCTCTTCGTTACCAATGGATCTGGGAGTGGAAATGGAAATAGCTGAATCGAACTCATTTTTCCATAATGCTAGATAGATATGACTTTTATGTGCTGCTAGCATACACCCTCCAAAAAATCCTTTAAATATCCATAAGAATAATGAATAATTTGTAACAATTAACAAAAAATATGAGTTCGAAGACTTTTTTTTTAACCTGCTTTCTTATGAAATGCTCAAACTAAGTAAATCAGCACATATGGTTATTATGGCCCGTATTATGCTTCTCCTCTTCCCTTTCTCTGCCCTCAAATTACCATTGTTCCTTAGGGATTTACTATTCTGTTATCACTAGTGGGATTTATTTGATATCTTTCCCTTGAAGAGCGTGAGGGAATGTGGAGAAAAGTACGAAATCCATAGGACCTACATTTAATGGTTTTGTCACATGGAAATAGTGTAGCTTGATGGCATGTTCACGGGTTCAAATCCAAGGCCTGTCTAATTTGCTGTGCATCTTTGGAAAAGCTATGTGTCTTCTCTGGTTATTGTTTTCTTGTTCCTAAATGGGAAGCACCTTACCTCATTGATTATGGGAATATCAAGAGATAATGAATGTAGAGTGTCTGGCACCTTAATAGTGATCAATAATGGAGTACATTATTAACATTATAATTCAGTGACTCAGCCGCAAAACTCTGAGAGAAGGGATGAAGGGGCCTGAATAGAAGGATGTGATATCAGGTGTATGCATTTAGAGATTTTCTTAACACGGAAGTCATTGTTGAGTAGCTCCTAATTTAATGCCAAAAAAATCCTCCTCTTAAACCAAAATAATGCTTGATGCACAGTAGGTAGTACAAAATATTTTTTGCATGAGAATGAGAACAAGTGATTTCCAAAGATGAAAAAGGGGAAAAAACCTAATACCAGTTGTTGTGTCCTCTATGGGACTCTTAGCTATCCAGATCTCATTTGGATACCAGTGATTCAAGAGCATAAGGAAAGAAGAAGGTTTGAGATGTGAGATAGATGGGGGGATAAGTAGAAATAGTAGGGACTGGAAAAAAAATCCATCTGCAGGAAAATACTATAATCATCTGATTATCCTTTACTGGTAAAGGATAAGGGGAAAGATGGCATTTTACTACAGGTCATTCTTCCATTTTTTAAAATGTTAGATTTTCTAGGTTTTATCCCTACTTCTTAAAATATAGAAATATGAAAGTACAAGAAATATTGTGCTAGAACTATAAGGCTATCCTTATTTAAAACCTTAAAAATTTCTTTCCGTTTCAAGTCATCAGATGAAAACAGTGTACTCCTAAAACAGAAACAATAAACTAATAAACCAGAAAGAACCCTGTATTTGTTTTATTTGAAACAAAATATCAGCTGATAACTTGAAGATATTGAATCTTACCTGTGTACATATACTCTGCATATGCAGGATGAGTTTTTGTGAAAGCATCTTTTACTTTTTCTATTTTATCAGCTCTTATTTTTGTCGCAAATGGTGTGTACATAACCGAGAAAGATTCAGCTCTGGTGATGGCTTCCTCAATCATGGCCTAAGAGGAAACAAACAACCCATTTGGCATCAATAACAATATATGACTTTTTAAGAATGTAAAAAATATAATTACCTTTATGGATGACTTAAAAATCTATATACTGTACTGCAAAGATAACATATTTTGGTCTTGAATATTCATTAGAACAAAATTTTAATTAGTTCTGGAAATACTATTTCATATTAAGAAAACCAATTAAATGAAGAAAGTTTGTAAACAGGCACCTCTAAACTGAGCTTGTTTTAAGATAAAAATATAAATTCTGTTTCCTAAGGTGTCATGTTTTACTTGATTTTAAAAGTCAAATTCTTGAGTCTGACATTATAATTAACTTACTCTTGAGCAGACATTGGTGAGCAATTTGTATATGGAGAGATTTCTTTTAAAAACTAAAATATCTAAAGTATATTCTGTAAATAACACGGCAAACTAGACAGACGGTATTTTTTGTTTTCTTTTTCCAATACCTGGGAAAGCCTTTTGGAATTAAAAAAAAATCCTTCCTCAATTTCCTCCCAGAAAAGCTTCCCTTCCCTCCAGATCACAAGAGCTGTTTAAGGTGGCTTTGGCTATTTAAGAATTTCTTTACATTATTTTTGCTCATGTACCATTCTTGATAAAGCCCTGCCATCATCCTCAGCTTCCTGTTTTAAATAGGTCCATTACTATTTGTAACAGACCTAAAAGAAAGTTATGTGAAGTTTTAAGAGGAACTTACTCCTTTCCTACAACTTTTCCTTCTAATGAGGCTTGAACATTGAATAAAACGTGGAAGTGTCTATGGTTACCTCAGTTTTTTAATATGGCATAAAAGCATATTATAAAACAATCCATTTTTATTTATAGGAATGAAATTCTCCCAGACAACTAAGGTACTAACAAACAATACGGAAAAATAATAGATATAAGCTTTTCAACAGAGAAAAAACCATTTAACAAACAACAATTTACATTATTACCCTCACAGTATTTTGAAAACAAGTTTTCCATTGATAATAAAAACAACAGGGAGTGGATTTTAAACTGGGAAGTCTAAATAAACTTGTTCATTGCTTGCTTCATTTCTTAGTGACTTCAAATGCCTCTATGATCATCTACATTGCTTGTAAAAGAGCAGCTTTGCAATTATTTTCTGGATGCAAAGGGTCTTCCTTTCTCTGAGACTAGCTTAAAATTATGTAAAAATTAGTGGTGGACAAATTTCTGAATGAAATTCAACAAACTATTGGATAATTGAATGCTAGAACTTGCATGGCCTTCAACATTGTCCTGTTCAAGTTCAAGGAACTGAATGGGGAACAGAAAATACATAGCGGTTCTTCCAAACCCAGAGCCAGCCCTCAGATGGAGTTAGTGATGGAGTGCATGGCAAATAAAGGAAGAGACCAGACAAGGAATTGCTGGACGTAGAGACCTGGATGCCAGCTTTGGAAGGCTAATGGGGATAATGCAGGCAGCAGGTCTGGGATTCAGAGTTGTGGATTAGGAACTCAAATAAGGTGTTTAGGCACCAAGTATTAGCCCTTCAGGAAAAATGAAGGTATTTTATATTGAGGAGGAGGAATAATTCCTCCAGTTTGGTGCTTACCTGTGTTCACTGCTGGAACTGATCCTGGGATGGCCTGTCCAGACCATCAAGCGCGTGGTTGCACATGCCTATGTGCAGTGATGTGTCAAGGAGGAAAGCTGCTTTAGACCTCAGTTCTAAGGTCATGGCTGACTTTACTGCCTTTGTAAGCTATTGGTGCCTGTATCAGTTTCCTAGGGTTGCTACAACAAAGTACCACCAACTGGGTGGCTTAAACAACAGAAATTTATTTTCTCACAGTTCTGGAGACTGGAAGTCCAAGACAGTGGTGTCAGCAGGTTTGGTTTCTTCTGAGGGTCTCTCTACTTGGCTTGTAGATGGCTGTCTTTCCCCATGTCTTCACATGGTCATTCCTCTTTGTGTGTGTGCACGCACGTGTGTGTGTGTGTTCTAATTTCCTCTTTTTATAAGCATGCAGTCATATTGGATTAGGGTTCACTCTAAAGCCCTCATTTTAATGTAATTACCTGTTTAAAGATTCTGTCTCCAACTGTGGCTGAGTGTGGGCTAATGGAATGCAGTCTAACTCTGAGGCACTAGGGGTTAGGACTTCAACAGATGAATTTTGGAGAGGTACAGTTCAGCCCATAACAGTTCCTAACTCAGAAACAGCTTTCTGATGGTCTCTGAATATCTTGCTGAAGGGTATTTTGCTTTAATTTCTGGATTAACAAATCTAGCAAAGGTATAATCCTCCAGTTTGCTTCCAGAAAGATATTAGTGATATCCTAGTCAGGCTAGGATAGAAGAAAACGCTCTCTCCACCCCATTTCTTTTCCAACTGCTGGCAGCTTAACTGACTGCTGGCAGGGTAGCTTGGCGAAGCCATCTCACAGTGGGGATGGTAAGACTCGTGCCCAAGAACCTACACCAGCTTTTAAAAAAGTGGCAGAAGTGTAGGTTTTCATGTGGCAGCTTGATCTGCTCATTGAAGGATCTGTACTCTTGGCTTAATGCTCAAGGCATTGCCTTCAGGCCTTAACAGGGCTCTCACTCAGGAGGGTATGCGCTGGAGAGCAGCCTCCCTCTCTCCCCACTGAGAACCAATAGAGATGGGTTCTTCCATGGATTCTGCTCTCCAACCTGAAGACGATGGGTAAGGAAGTGGGTGAGTAAATAGAGAGAGTATGTAATTTACAAATAGAAATTGTATTCTCCATGGAGATGCTTTCTTAAAGGAAATTATTATAGCCCCAGGAAGAAATAGTACAACATAGAGTAGAAATGAGAATACAGATGACCCTTGCACCAGATCTTGAAACATCCTTTTGTGTTTTAATGTACTAATATTTTTTATTCTTCTAGAGACAGACAATCTTGAGGCTTTGAGCCTGTCCTACATTGCTGTTGTAAAGAAATAGAGTAATATAACATATATATATATATATATATATATATATATATTTAGCATTATTGGTATTGAATGGCATTATTGAATAACTAGTGAAATCTAGAAAAAACTTAGCCTTTGTATTCAATTAAAATAGTAGGATTTTTTTTGACTGTTTTGGTTTAGATACCAAAAGATTAAATTTTCACTTTGTGATGATAATAATTTGGCAATTTAGAGTTGGACTTGTCTTTTTAAAGAGTCTAATATGTGTAAATTAAAAATTATACTTAAGGACTTTAAAAACTAGAATGATTTGATATAATCTTAGACATTAAAATATAAAAGATAGATTTAAATTTACTTTTTATAATAAAAGATTTTCCTTGATTTTGCGAATAAAGGAAGAGACCAGACAAGGAAATGCTGGTTGTAAAAAATAAGCTATACTAAAAATGGAAGCAGATTTCAAATGATACTTCTTAATTTGACATAAATATTCTGTAATTGAATCATTCTTTCTGGACCTGTGAACTTCTCTGATGTCAGTAAATGTTGCACGTGTGCAGAAAATGGAGAAAACAATCAGTCCTTGTGCCCTGTTGTTAAATGTACATTGCTGTTAATTATGCTTTCTCTGCTGTTACTCAAAAATAAGCTTTGAAATTAAGTGTTTACCTTTGGGAGTTCTAATAACTCTCTTTTGTTACTCTCACATTTATCAAGTTGTAAAGCTCATAATTTAGTTACATAAGCCAAGAGTGTAAGTGGGCAGCTCATTTTCTCTACAAACAGTAACTTATAATAATTTCTCCTTGTACTGTAGCTAAGTAAAAAGAACCCCTTGCTACCTTAGAAATCAACTTGCCCAGGATGACTGTACAAAAGAGACCATGGGACAGCAAGGAGGAGAGATATTCCGTCAAGAGGAAAAGAAAAGCAATAAAAGTAGGGGGAAACATGACCAGCAAAAAAGAAACAAAATTCATCTCCCTCATCTAAACTCAAGAGGGCCGATTCTTCTTGGTAAAATTTTAAGAGCACTCAAGGTAGCCAGAATTAAGCTGGCAGAAACTATAAACTTCAAACATTTTCGGGATGATAGAATTATGTAACTTACTTTCTTTCTCTCTTTCTTTCTCTCTCTCCTTCCTTCCTTCCTCCCTCCCTCCCTTCCTTCCTTCCTTCTCTTTCTCTCTTCCCCCCTCCCTCTCTCTCTCTCTTTCTTTTTCTCTTTCTCTTTCTTTTTTCTTTCTCTTTCTTTCTTTCTTTTTCTCTCTTTCTCTCTTTCTTTCTTTCTTTCTTCTTTCTTTCTTTCTTCTTTCTTCCTTCCTTCCTTCCTTCCTTCCTTCCTTCCTTCCTTCCTTCCTTCCTTCCTTCCTTTCTCTTTCTTGTGGAGGAGTTGGGCAAATTGTAACTTTTGAACTATGTGCTTGGTGAAAGTGGTTTACTAAGAATCTTGTCACGTGAAATTAGAAAATGTGATGATGATTATTATAGATTATCATCAAATTATTCCTTTCTTGCTTCCAGTCTTAGGGTTGACTATAATCATAGTAAATTGATTTATTTAGAAGATTAGATCTGGAAGGAACCTTAGGAATCTTACAGCCCAACTTCTTGAGATTTGGAGAGGCTTAAGAGACTTTTCTAAAGGCTTTTCTTTTGAGATGGAGTTTTGCTCTGTAGCCCAGACTGGAGTGCAGTGGTGTGATCTCGGCTCACTGCAACCTCCCACTCTGGGGTTCAAGCTATTCTCCCAGTGCAGCCTCCTGAGTAGCTGGGACTACAGGCGCCCACCACCATGCCCGGTGAATTTTTGTATTTTTAGTAGAGATGGGGTTTCACCATGTTAGTCAGGCTGGTCTTGAACTCCTGACCTCAGGTGATCCTTCTGCTTCGGCTTCCCAAAGTACTGGATTACAGGCGTGAGCCACCATGGCCGGCCTTCTAAGGACTTATTAAATGACTTTAAAAAATTCTATAGAATTTAGAATTAGAGTCTCTAATGTTATATTTCACTTTCTTTTTTGAAAATTATGACTTTACCTCGCAGGCACATAATAGGCATTTTCCAGACTCCCTTACAATGAATTGTGGCAGAATGTGGACCAATGGAATGGAGGTGGGAGAGACATTAACTTTCTTCAGGCCTGGCCCATGAAACCCTGCCTAGCATAATCCCCTATTTTCTTTTCCTGTCAGCTGCCTTAAGAAAGAGGACTCAGCCAGGCACGATCCTCACGCCTGTAATCCCAGCACTTTGGGAGGCCAAGGCAGGCAGATCATATGAGGCCAGGAGTTCGAAACCAGCATGGCCAACATGGTGAAACCCTGTCTCAAATAAAAATATAAAAATTAGCCAGACATGGTGGTGAGCGCCTGTAATACCAGCTACTTGGGAGGCCGAGGCAGGAGAATTGCTTGAGCCCAGGAAGTGGAGGTTGCAGTGAGCAGAGATTAAGACCACTGCACTCCAGCCTGGGCAACAGAGCAAGACTCTGTCTCAAAAAAAAAAAAAAAAAAAAAAAAAGGACTCACAGGTGGGAAGGAAGATGGCACTACATAGTGGAAGCATTGTGGGTTCCCAAGTTGATGATTAGAGTAGATCCAATCAGAAACATCCATGTTGGACTATGAGTGAGAAATCAAATTATTTTTCTATTGTTTTAAATTTCTGAAATTTGGGGTTGTTTGTTATAGTAGCCTACCCTAACATACCAATACTAATAAATAAAATTTGAAACTTGGAATCTCTCTCATAATCCCTTTTTATCTACTAATACTTGTGTATTATTTTGAAAAGTAAAGAAAAACATGGCATTTAAAGAGATGAAACAACAACCTTTCATTTAGCAGTGTGATAAATGCTTTTATATAGGCTATTTCCTTTAGTCCTCATAAAATCCATCTGGGCAGGTATTACTAGTGATTGAATATTACAGTTTTATTGTTTTATTTTCAGAGTTAACATTATTAAATTCAAAGGAAGCAGTACTATACTTGCAAGCTATAAATGATTGAGGTAGGTACCTTTAGTGTTTAATGGCTAATAAACCTCTTTGTTATTATATTAATAATAATGCAATTTTAAATGATGATAATAATTTTCTAGAAAATGGAAAAATAAAATTTTGTGAGCTACGTTTTTCAAATTCAATTTTTAAAATATACATAGTGGTTTAATTTGGAGGATTTCAATTTTCTTGAAATTTAGAATTGATTTTAAAAACAGATTTTCATAAATATGCTACCTTGAGACAACCCTATAAACACAATCACTGTGTCGTTTATGTAATAGTCAAGATTTACATTTTTATGATGATTTTAGTATAATGGTGTGTCAGAATAGAATATGTAATAATTGACTGCTTGTCCCTGCTGCAATGATCAACATTTTGATGCTGAATATTACCCTGGGTTTATGGAAGCTATTTTATGAAAGAACATTCGCAATAAGTTTCATTTTTTCTTAATATAAAAGAATATTTGGCAGCTTTGCCATTACCTCTGTCAGCCCAGTGATGTGAAAGTTATAAATATTTCATGCAGTTTAAATAAAAATATTTAAATTTTACTTGCATTATTTAGAAATCACTAAAAATTGCATAAACAGGTTACTTGTAGCAAGGGAAATGGACTTTTATATAGCTTTTTTGAATTCTGTACTTTGCAACCCTTTCTGTTTAAAAATAGTCATAATAAATATAATATTAAATTTAAAGTATTTAATTTAGTTTTGTAGTGTGTTACTGCTATATAATTTTAGAACATATATATGTATATACACATGCATGTAATTGTGTAAATATATTATTTGAGCTACTGTCTACCATTCAGTATGTTTAGGGTTAGAGTTTTCATTATATGTGATGCATCCATTAACTAAATAACTTCTGCACTTAATGCCTAAAATTTACCCTGCATTAATTTTTAATCATTTATATTTTATAGTAAAATGTTATTTCCATGGTCCTTCAAGATAGAACTGAGGACATGGAAAGGATCTAAAATATTATTTTATAATCACTAAACTTTATAACTAAGGAAACTAAAGCTTGATGAGTACTGGTGATTCTTCCAAGGTTACAAAATTAGAAATGAAAGCAAGATGAGAGCCCAAGTCCCCTAAGCCAATCTTTCTTCTACAGTGAGCAACATTTTATTCTTTTAATTAGATTGTAAATTCTCGGAAGTATAAGATCAAGTTTTGATTCCCTTCTTCTTTTTTCATCACTATCTACTTCTGTCTCCACAGACAGCTAGAATTTGACTCTAGCACAAACAGAGAAACAAACAGACCACATCAAACCATATCCAGATCAAGATCCTCTTTATAACAATTCTAACACAAAATGGAATATTCATCACTCACACCTACTGGCCACAAGTAAGACTGTTTTGTCCACTGGCCCCTCATTAGATTTAGGACATGCTATCAGCTGGCATGCCAGTGTTGAAAAGAAACATTTACAAAAATTAGATGAATGGCTTTTTGATAGGGGGCTTAAATAATAACATGCTTAGGTCAGTCTAGCTTATTTAATGGCAAAACATATATAACTTATAAATAGAACTTAAAGTATGTTCTTGTTCTATAGACCCTGAATAATTTTCTGCTTGCACATTAGAGAAATGCCAGCTGAAAGAAACTCAGAGTTACAAGTGTGGGTTTCAGCAGCCTCCATACTCTTTAGGATGCCACAGAGCTTTTATTCTTGATGACTTAAAATGAATCACCAAAAGGTGTCACAGAAATAAATAGCTACATTACCTGCAATTAGTTCATAAGGACAACTGGGTATTACTAATGAGCTTTAGCCTCTGTGTTCAGTAGTAAATGTCAACACAGCTTGGGACCCTTTTTTGTCATTGTGCATTTCATCTCTATATTTCATTTAGTTGTATGAAGGTAGGTATTTCTTTTCCTAACTGTATGTTGTTTTTTGATTGTATTTCTTGACCGTGGTTTTAAAGTGGGGTATGCCTTGCCAGTACACACAACTAATTAATGGCAGGGTTGGGACAAAGACCTGGTGACTTCGTTCTCAAACTTGTACTGCTTTTTCTACTCAGAATTTGTTTTATCTTTTGGGCTATTATTTGAGATGACTTTGAGTGGAAAGATCAGGGATACCTCTGAAGAAGTGTATGTTGGAGAACAAATTAAAAAGATTTGAGGACGTTTCATCTGGAGACAAGATTTAGGTTTCAAGGACTAACTTTCTGTCATCAGGTAGCAACGTGTTCTCAGATTCTCTCTATGCAGACTTTATTTGGCTTACTGATAAACCTGAAAAACTCATTTATTTATCAAATGAGTCTTCACCTGTGCGTTGGCGAAGTGCTGTAGATAAACTATTCTGTTAGTTTGCTAAAACAATGCTGGAAAGCAAGCATTATTACTCCATTTTATAGTTGAGGAAAACTTAGTCTGTAAAGAGCTTCTACAACATGGTGAATTTCACACAGCTACTTCATGACAGAGATGGGATTCAAATTAGTTACATCTTAGGGCCTCTTCCTCTGAGCCATTATGCTATGCTGACTTGTAAATGATGTTTACAGCCCTGTCCAGCACTAAGATAGGATTCCAAATATATGAAAGGTTCTTGCACAGAGCTTCAGAGGGCAGAAGTGGAATCTTTAGCAGGAAACAGAGGCTTCTAAGAAGGGAATTGTTCATCTTGGAAGCTCGTAGCTCATGACCTTGGTGGTGTGCAGATCAAGAGAAATGAGTGTATCTGGAATCTAGTAAGAGGGATGACTGTGCTGTGGAAATATTACTCACAGTTTGTTCTGGTCTTCTCTTGCCTCCCCGTAATTTCTTTTCTTACATAAGTTTCAGCTTTGCCTGGCAATCAGACACCTTATATTTTTCTTTATTATTTATTATTTTTTTTTTGAGATGGAGTCTCGCTCTGTCACCAGGCTGGAGTGCAATGGCGCGATCTCGGCTCACTACAACCCCCACCTCCTGGGTTCAAGCGATTGTCTAATTTTTGTATTTTTAGTAGAGATGGGGTTTCACCATGTTGGCCAGGATGGTCTCGATCTCTTGACCTTGTGATCCGCCCGCCTAGGCCTCCCAAAGTGTTGGGATTACAGGCGTGAGCCACTGCGCCCGGCCTTTTCTTTATTATTTCTTTAATTTGTCTGCAATTAATGTCTTCCAGGTTGTGGCCTCTCCCAGAAGACTTTATATTTTAAAAAGAACAGATCACAGAAGGATAATTTTATGGGGCAGGTGGCCTCCTATACATGACTTCCCATGCTTTCATCCTAACATCAAAATGTCTCAGAGGGGAAATAATTGCACCTGTGAGAAATGCAATGGACTTGTCAAAATACATGTATAATATATAGATCCACATACATTATATACCTATATATGTTTCTATGTGCTTTGTGACAAGAAAAAAATCACAATGTCACGTAATATTAAATGAAATGAGATAAAGTGCTAACTTCAAGAGACCTGCCACTATACTACCAAGTTCTCTGTCCAGTCTCTGGTTACATCTCTGATTTGCATCTTATATGAACGTTACAGCAGGCCAACCTCCACCTGATGAAGAATAAATAATAAATGAAGTGAAGGCTTGCCAGCTAAATATGATATTTTCCATCCCTTTATGTTTGGGCTTGAAATAATCCTCCTGAGGTTTTCTGGAAGTTATTGTTCCTCATAGGTTGTTGGTTCCTGGTGTAGGCTGCACTATATATATATAATAGCACCTATGCTTTCTTGAATAAAAATAGGTTAGCTTAACAGTTACTTTATAATCCTGAGAAAAACGAAATCATGCCACATGTTAAAGGCTGACATTTGAAATGCCAAGGTCTCATTATTTGGAAGGGAGAAAATTATCATGAAAAAGAGAATGATTCAGCCCAGGTACAGATAAGTAGGCAGTCTTCAAAAATTAGCGAAGAAAATACAATCATATGAATTCAAGAAAAGAGGAGAATTTATTTTAATTGGTGTGCAATACCACCAAAATGATGGCTGAGTATAAATAAAAACATTAAAAGCTTTGAGCTTTACAGATTATCTTATACCTGAGTGAACACAGCTTAAAAAATTTCATGATTTCATGGAATAGTTATTACACATCTCCAACTGCTAAAAAAAGTGACCTCAATTTCTCTGCAAGCTTGTAAATCAATAACCCATAAAAATCTATGGAAAATAGAAAAGATAACCATAAAACCCTCTAAATTTGGTTTTGCTCATAACAAGTTTTGATTTTCAGATGCAAACAAACACAGAGAAGGAGTCAACATGTTTGTAAATTTAGACTGGAAGGCAAAGTCTCTATGAAAATAAAATAACCTCATGGAAACCATGCAGAATAGCCACAGGCCTCCTGGGAATCAAATATCTAGACCTAAATTTGTTAAAGTAAAGAAAGGCCTGAATTGCTTTACATCTCTAAGCGCATATCTTTCTCAAATGAGAGAAAATGAAAAGAAATTTGGAGGTTAGTTTTTTTCCTCCCATAGAAACCATCAGAAACCCAAAAGCTTTTTAGGAGGCAAAAAAAGTAAAGAAAAAGCTGCATTTAAATGATGTGGGCTTCTGCCGTCACCTACTAATAATACTGAAAAACCAAACCAGGAATATTTTGAAAAAATAGACATTTCTGAAGAAGATACAAAATAAACATTACTCAGGGGTCACTGAAGATTAATTGTCTTGCTTTTTATGATGCCTGAATTTTTTAGTTTATTTATATGTTATTTTCATAGTGATGGGAGTCTCATTATGTTGCCCAGGCTGGAGTGCAGTGGCTATTCATGGGTGTGGTTACAGCCTACTATAGCTCAGAGATCCCCAACCAGGCCACAAAGCAGGAGGTGAGTGGCGGGCCAGTAAGAAGCTTTATCTGTATTTACAGTTGCTCCCCATTGCTGGCATTACTGCCTGAGCTCCACCTCCAGTCAGATCAACAGTGGCATTAGATTCTCATAGGAGCACGAACCCTATTGTGAACTCCTCAGGCGAAGGATCTAGTTTATGTGCTTCTTATGAGAATCTAATGCCTGATGATCTGTCACTGTTTCCCATCATCCCCCGATGGGACTGTATAGTTGCAGGGAAACAAGCTCAGGGCTCCCACTAATCCTACATTATGGTGAGTTGTATAATTATTTCATTATGTATCACAATATAATAGTAATGAAAATAAAGTGCACAATAAGTGTTATGTGCTTGAATCATCTTGAAACCATCCCCCCACCCTAGTTTATGGAAAAACTGTCTTTCACAAAACCGGTCCCTGGTACCAAAAAGTTGGGGACCACTGCAATAGCTTTTAACTATTCCTGGACTCAAATGATTCTCCTGCCTCAGCCTCCTGAGAAGCGGGGACTGTATCAGCTCTGTTGCCTGAATTTTCTAACAAGCCTTAATTATCAACGTGCAGAGAAGGCTGATGTGCAAGTGAAGCACGCTGCCCCTTGCAGGGCATATTCTGAGGCACTGGCAAGGATTAGTGCCCTCAAATTCTTGTATGATCTGGATGCCTGACATTGTGTTGGTAGCAGGGGACTAAGCCATTTATTTCTCAGTGAGAGTTGGGGCTTCAAAGGCAAAAAACCTCCAGAGAGGTGGCATTGTGCTGAAATTCACACTGAGGCAAAGCAATTGAATGCTCAACTCATTTTCGAAAAAAACTGCCTATTGGCATGTACATGTTGGGTTGAAGTGGGGATAGCGTGAGGAGAAGAGAGGAATGGGGTAGTAAAAAGCAACCTTACCTACTTGACAGTCCGTCTAAATCAATGTCACTATGTATATGTATATAGTAAAATCTACACATTAATTTATATATGTGTATGGTTCAGGTTCTTGCCTCTCTCCCCCCTTTCTTCCCTTTCTTTCTAATGCCTGCAGCACTCACAGAACATCAACAGAAGAACTACACAAAACTATACAACCAGCAAATAATGTCACGGTCACTATCTCCTTCATGGGAACACTCAACCTTGGATCAAATACATGCCTCAATTACATCTTTCATTTAAAAGTGAACCTCTCCTACTGGCATACTACCTCAAATAGCATCAAAGCAAAATGAAACACAGGCAGCATTTAACAACGCTGGTAACCATGGAAACATATCATTAAAGAATGTATAAACAGGAATGAATAATTAGATGAGAAATTTATGTCTACATTTATCTTTTTGCAAGACCCAGGAAAGGAAGCTCTCTTTTACCTCTCACCTCAATTTGGATACTTCCTCTTTAGTCTGTCTTCTAATTGAAAAATATGAGAATTCATAAACTGGGAATTTTAATATTGTCTAGCTCAATAGACAAATTTCTTTGTAGGCAAGAGACTAAAGAATATTGCATGCCCATTGTTGTCTAGATGTGACACTTAAGCAGCCAAGAGGTTTGCTTCAGGGATGTGAAGTACACAGGAAAATCTGACTTACATCATGGGGAGAAAGGGACAGCAATTATTAACTGTTAACAATGGAAAACATAAGCTGCCTAATCTACTGGGAGGTAATCTAATAGTGGGAATATGGAGGGGAGAATCTGGGTCTTATAAAGTATTTAAATTGCATTGTCAGGTAGGCAGGATCACCTGTGCAGGTCATCCAATGTCATACCTTTGCACATAGGGCAGTCCCAGATAAACTCTATGGTGGGCTAAGTTGGTCACTAACTTAAAAATTGGAAATAGCTTTTGAGACATATGCCTGGGGTTGTGCATCAGAATCACCTGGTTGAAGGGGGACAATAGAAAAATACAGTTTTTAGTATCCCACTCAACTCTAGGAATCTAATATTTTAAATGCTTTTCTAAGTGACTCTGATGCAGTTGGTTACTAGACTGGTGTTTAAGAGCCACTAACCTAGGCCAACTTCCTCACTGGAAGGCCAACAGAAGCAGAAATGAAGGCCTAGAGCAATTTTGGTAGATTGAGTTGTGGGTCTCAATTTTTCCCCTCCTTGTTGCAACGTCATCTCCACCCCTTTGTCTTGGCTTTGTAGTGGGCAGAAGAATCTACCCTTTGCTCTTGGGCTTGATCGTGTGGCTTGCTTTGGCTAATAGAATGTTAGAAACGATGGTATGAGCAGTGGCTTAAAATGTGCTTATATGGTTTGGCTTTCTCTCTTGGAATCCTGCATTTTGCCATAAAAAGAACTTGCATCAGGTAATCATTGGACAAAGGAGAGCGAAAGATCCGTGAAATACACTTGGACCTCTCTGCAGCTTGGAGGTAAGCCAAGCCCAGTCGAGATTACCCTCAACTAGTCAAATTTGAGCCAACATATTTATTTGGTAAGCCGCTGAGTTTTAGAGTGGTTTGTTACACAGTATTATTGCAGCAGTAGCTGGCTAATAAAAAATTGCATTATTTATTAAAAATTGAGTCAGCTTTGGAACTAGAAGTTAAATTTCCTGAATCTCAGGCCCAACCTTTTTCTCCTGCTCCGTGATGCCTATTTTCCTTTGCTTCCTTTCCTTGACAGAATTAAGCACAGATGTCCATTGTCTTCGAAAGGTACTTCTCGTTGGCCTACATTTCCTATATTTCTGTCAAATTTTCTCATTAGATCTTACCTTTCCCTATATCTTATTCTTATAGAATTCTGCTTTCACCTTTCAAAGAAGACTAAGAAAGCTCAAATAAACTAATTTTTACAATTCTATTCAGAGGTAACAATGTACTTAGTTAAACACTTCTAGATAAAATTTCTTCTGCATATGACCTAGGGCTGACTGGACACTCAATGCCAAATGATAAGAATTTAAGTATGATACATAGTAATTGATGGGGAAAATATTTTTGGGTGAGTGTCTTTAGTGCTTCTCAAATTACATCTAATCTAAATACTATAGAGCCTGGGCTGCTTTCAGACATTCCTCATGCAAATAATTTAGAAACTCTCTGCCTGACAGGGCCAAATAAATAAATACACTACAAATATAGGCCACTAAGAGAAATGTTCAGATGGTATTGCTATTTTGTTCCTTTCTGTGGAAAAATTTTTCACATGGAAGCAAATCTTCAGAGAAAACACATTTCTCCAGAAAATGTAGGTGTTTTGTTAAAGATAAAAAATATTTTTCAGTTCCTTGACCTTACTTTGCCTGTAATTTCATGTTGAAGATTTTATATTTATTTGGGGTTAGCATACATTTTTATCAGGTAATGAGTAATATTGGAATGATTTTGCACTATCAAGAAGAAAAACAAAGAATAGAAGAGAAAAAGTCATCATTATTAGTATAAGTAATCAAGTCATGTTCAGTGTTAATTTATTGTACATGATTCTCTGGTCTGTTTAGAGAAATCTATTCACTTGCTGCTCCCTTGATTGTCATGTTTGAAAGAAGCAGTTAGGAGGCTAAGAACTTGGAACTTCCATGAAGACACCTCTGAGCACAGAAATTAATGAGCCTAAAAGATCTATTGGAAACCTGCAACTTTCTTCAAAAATTCTATTGATCCCAAACTCAACTGAAGCACAAAAGTTGTTTACAATTGTGAACTTGGAACACATGCGCACATACCTAGCAAAATGTTCATTGGATTCATAATCACTGGTTTTTAAAATTGTAAAACAACTATGCCAAAATATTCTCATGTCAAATGTTATTGGTCTGAGCTTCATGTCAAACCAATATTTAATTTGATTGATTGATTTAACAAATCTGTATCAAGCTGCTTTTTGCAATGCATTTTGATGGTGGTGCATTTTGAAAGCAGATTAACTAGAGGTGGTATACAATTTAAGTACCTTATAGTCTGTAGCTTTTCCTGGTAATAGTTTGCGCTAGAATATATGCTCCTTGAAGACAGGCAATGTCTATTTTGTTCACTCCTGTATCTCCAACATGTAGCACAGTGCCTTACATACAGTCACTAAGTAAGTATTTGTTGAATGAGTATGAATGACAAATACAATTTGAGCATAAATAATAAAGGTATCCACTAACTTAAGAAGACTCTGGACACTATTGCCAAGGTTTCAAGCTTGAATGACCATGGTGCAGTTTATGGAGTCACTCATGACAATAACATTGTGGGTGCTATTTTTTGCTTTGAATGTTAGAAGCAGTAAATGCCTCCTGGTAGGCCTAATAGCAAAAAGAAAAGGGGTTGTTGCAATAGTGACAATCATGTAAAGAGAAGGAGTTGTAAAAGAGTCTTAGCCTGTGGTCTGTGAACCCTGAAGTCCATAGAAAGGCGTTAGGGGCCCACAAACTATGGGCCGTCTTTGAGCATGTGGCTGTGGAAAATCTTTTTTGTCTCTCAGTTCAGCCAGCTCCCAGTTTTGTCCCTTGAGAGTAGGACTAATCACACCAAAGAGATATTTCTTTTTGGTAAGCTGCCTTTGGAAACCATATAGGCCATTGATAGCTTTGAGATGGGAAACATTTCAATGCCAAGTGCAACTTGAATTGGATGGGAAGTCTTGGTGTTCTCTGCACAGATGGAAGACCTGTGAAGCTGGCACTGCCTCAGCCTCTGCTGCTTCACTGAAGAAAGATGCTCCACATGTCATGCTTTCTACACGGGCCTGTGTTGGTGTCAACAGCTCTTCCAACAATCTCAAAAGAGGTCTTTCTACTGCTGTGAAAGTCTTCAGCTTCTTTGGAGCCAAGAGCTTGAATTAGTGCCTTTTCAGTAGATCTTTGTCAAGATACAAGAGCACACCATGAGGTTCTTTCCTTTTAGAGAAGTTTGTTGACAATCCAGAGAAGAGATTTAGATGTGATTTAGTTTGGTTAATTCTTTACAATTTTTTAAGAGAAAAGAAAACTCCTTCTTAGAATAATTTGATGGTGAGAAATTCCAGGACTAGCTTTGTAATGGCTGATACCTTAGGCACATAAATTAAACAAATCTTTTGATTGAAAATGCTGAAGTTACTATTAGAGATCCTGCTGAAAAACTATAAGCTTTTTTTTTGGCCAAGCAGCTACTCTAAATGAGGTGACCGAAGTCAAATAACAATATGGATTTTCCAACACTGAAGGTGAGACTGACGAAGACTTGAGAGTTTTTGGGGACAAAAATGTACAGACACTTGGCAAGTGGCTTATCTCTTATGAAGGTCACTTTTTGTTCAGACAGCCTTAAAATGGAAACAAATTGCCGACATAGATAGCGTTGATGATATAAGCCTAACAAAGATGACCTCATTTACTTGAGGACAAAGGAAATGACGTATTATAAATTTTAGTTGAAAATTTTGGTAATTGTTGATTCATGCTGACCCATCTGAGATATTGTGTAGTATTGGAGCTCTAACTCCATTTGCTAGTAGAGACTTTGTGAATCAGGATTTTACCCGTTATTGACATTAAAATGAAATGTTGAAATTGATGCAATATGAAATATTTCAATTCCTTGATCTAGAAAAGCTACAAAAGACTTTTCACAAGAGTGAGAAAACCATAATTTTCTGTAAATGCTGTTCTGGTATTCTGACTGTGTATAGGAGATCAATTTCCAATTCAATCAGATAAAAAGTAAGCATATATTTCATGTGTGTGTGTGTTTATGACTATTGTTCTAGGTGGATGCTTGTAAATGAATTAGATTCTCAGAGGGGTCTATAGCTCAAAAACATAAAAATAAAAAAAGAACCATTAAGGTAGGGGATGAGCTGATCAGGCAGCATGCCCCTGTTTAGTGGGGTTCCTCTGCACTTGTTTTGTGGGAGTTCTGTGATACAATTAGCTGTTACCTTTTCTCACTTCACTTTGCTGAGCACCGCAGACCAGGGTTGGCTCTGTTATTCACATTACATGAGTTAAAGACACACACATGAAAACTTTTGTGCCTCAGAATGTGGCTGAAAGTGAATGCAGCAGGACAGGACAGGAGAGTGGAAGATGGAGGAAGCTTGCTTGCTTGTTTTCCTCATGTTATTAAAACTAGCCCTGGATGTAGTAAGGAGCAGGGAGAGGTGGACTAGATTTTAATATAAAGTTCTTGTAATAAAATTAGTGTAGGACCAATATATAAATACGATAGGGCAGCTATTTCAAAAATAGCTTAGTCTAAGCCTGACTTGGTACTTTCTATTTTGCTAATTACTTCAGGATTGTGGTGAGGTCTCCAGGTGTTCTCAAGGAGAATGGCTGATTACAGATGCCTGGATGTCGGGTTGCAGAGGCATTGTGTGCAAGTACAGTCATGACAAGTTATTTTCAACCCTCTCTAGCTCTGAAGAGGTGACACTATTATAGAATAACATGTGCAAACACTTATTCAAAGTGATATATCCCAGTGTGAGCTGTCATATAGTATAGTGCTTTATGCCTTTCTTTTCCTTGCTGGGTTGATGATATGAAAAATGTTCCTAATGCAATTGAAAGGTTCTTGAGTTCACCAAAGCAAAGGTCCATTCTTCTGCATCTGAGAGTTTGTAAGTCAACCATGTATAAGAGTAAATATAGACGTGTTCTCAAATTTTTACATTCTGAAATTTTCCATTTCCTGTTAAGAAGAATAACCAACTAAAATGGTATGGATTTTATAGGGTTGAAAAGGAAGATATACAGTATAGTAACTTCTGGCAAAGGTGGTGAAAATAGTGTCTATCTATTTAACCTTAATGGATGCCTATAAAAGTGCATGAAAATACAGTCTCTAGTCTGTGATGTTTGGGGACATTCTTGAAGTCATCAGTGAAATTGCTAGGGTGGATTGGGTAGTGGGGCATATGTATCTTTAAAGATGGCATAGACTTGGCACTCTCTGGCAGGGTTTAAAACCCCCTTCTGATTTAGGACAGAACAAGGTTTAGGGATTCGAATGTATACATTTGAATCAAGATCAAGGAGAAGCTGGTTAGCAGCAGGAAGTATATAATGGGTGAGTGAATGGTTTGGTGTGCTGATGTTGGGGCTTGATAGAGGGTGTTAATTTATAGAATTTATCTGCAGGAAGTGATTTCTAATTATATTGCTTCTTTTTCCCTCAAAATTGGTGACATCATTTTGGATATGCCTAAGATTTTGGGTAAGATTTTAGTGCTAAAATGGGCTTTAAGAATAAACCTTCTCAAACACTTTATTCTAGCCATCCTCACTTTCCAGTTGAAGCTCGCTACAGACTAACTTGCCCTAAGTTCAATATCTAGTTAGTATTAGAACTTACGCCAAATCAGACCTGACTTCTAGACAAGAGCTCTTTTCCTTTATGCCAGGTTACATCCAATCAAGAAACAGGGAATACAAAAAGAACTATTTTTTATCTTTTATTAATGCATAATAGTAAAATATTCATTTTATTTCTTTTTATATCACAAACATGCATGCATTTGGTAAGTGGAGATTATTTTCTTAGTCTGAGGTAAATAAAATAGGGATATTAATGCTCTCTGAAAGCTAAAGGAAACAGAAAAATTTTTTCGCATCAGATGGATAATGTGCTGACATAACAAGATTGGAAGGAGGCATGTCTCACATGTGAGCGTAAAAACAGAGTTATCATGCTTGTGAACCACAACATGGTCAGACAAAATTTTTATTTACGAAACTTCCAAGGTCTTACTTTGTCTTAGGTTATGCTGACATTGGATCTATTATTTTCTTAGTTCAATGTAGAAAACAGGATAGGTACTCATATACATTTGTTTAATGAATAATTAAATTAAGTCAAGCATTCGCTGGGGACCTAGTATATGCCAGGCCTGCTGAATATTTTCCAATCCTTAAGATTCACAACTCCTTTCCCACCTCTCTTAAATCCTTTATAAAAGCCTCTGAAATCCTTATAAAAAAGTCCTCTTTGTATAGCTATAGCCCATATTATTTGCTTATTTTTCCCATCTGGCATTTTTAAACGACTATTTAGTTACATGTTCATCAGCCATTACTGCTGTTTGTATGTTCCAGATTATCTTAGGAAGGTCTTAAAATTATCAGAGAAGTAATAGGTTGTTTTGGGTTTAAAGGTTTGTCTACCTGGAGATCAACATTTGTTTTTTCATTTTAAAATAATCACAGAACTGAAGTATAATGTGACTAATTTAAATTTTTTTTTAATAGAAGGTAAATTGATCTCCAGATAGAACCATGTGCATTGCTGGAAATTGTGTATGATAAACCTGACACTTTAATATCTAACAAAGATAACATATAATATAGAGAGACAAAAAACTAGGGTCCAAGACATGGTAGTGAAAATGTGGGGGGAAAAAAAACAGGAAAAAAACAGGAAGCTTCAGAAGGCTGTTGATGATTATTTCTTACTTTACAGTTAGTGGCTTAGAACATCTTATTCTGGTTGGTTCAAAAGGTTCGTATTCAATTAAATTAAAACATCTTGAAATACAAGGAAAAAGCTCCACACAGTCTGGAGAAGAGAAAACATGGAGGAGAAAGTTGGCTTTTGTAGTTGATTTTCACATATTTATAACAATTTCATTGGAAATGGGTTTCATGTGGTTCATGTGGACTCATCAGAAACAATGGGATGGAAGTTTTAAGGGAGTAGAAATTCAATTTAAATGAGGAAAACAGTTTAATAGTTAGCAAACTGGATGTTATTTTTGTGGGGGTTAAGTGAGCTCTTCATTTTGGATATATGTCAGCAGAAACTTATTGACAGCTTGTTGGGGGAGGGTAAAGTAAGAACAGATTCATGTCTTATAAATGAGATTGAACTAATAAATCCAAAATTCTTCTTATACGTTTAAGAAATTATGAATTTCTTCTTGGCAGCTGATTGACCTTTGGTATGACTTCTTGCTGCCATTTTGAATAATAAATGAGAAACAAGATCTGCAATTTGATATTGGTTAAGTGTTTCAAATAGTAAATAGTAAACAAATACATCTGATCTTTGCATTTTTCCTTTATTATGTAATTAATATTACTTCTAGCATCTGTTTTTACAGGCTGTAGATCAGTAAGAATCTATGAAAATACAATGTTCATATTTTAAATAATCCTAATATTATAGTAGCACGCCTGGAAAAGTAGTTCCTGGGATCTCTAAAATTTATATTGAGTTGTAAAACTGAAGTATGGGCCATGGGTTAACAACCTTGAATTTTGCCCCTAGAATTAGTCTTAGAAAATCTACTTCGTTATGAATACATTATTATTCAGTACCTTCTTTCTGATTGATATGCCCAGAGCTACCTTTTTCTTCAGTCTTTTAAGCACCAATCTTTCATTTTGGCTCTAAAAATGAGATGGGTTTCTCCTCCCTAGTTGGGACATCAATTTTTACCTGCCAATACAGTTTGATGAGCTTGCTTATGCTCTCTTCCCTTCCTCCACCAAGCCAGAACATGTAGTCAGCAATCATGGCACTCCTAAGAACAAGGACAGATTAAAAAAAAAACAAAAACAAATGTATAGGACAGAAGGAAAACCATAACAGGCACTATATACAAATACTGAGGAAGATGATTTTTAATGTATAAATTTGTCTAGACTAATATTAAGCAAAACACAAAGCACATTTTAGAGTGTTGAAAGTAGGGATTTTTTTGGGGAGGTAGATAAACCAAAACTATAAAAGAGAAGCAATAAGCTATTTGTCTTCTAGGTGCTTTTTAAATTTGTACAGTATAAGAATATTTAAAGATTATGAGAGAATGTTTTGTTTTGGTTGGCCTATATTAAGCTTCAAAGCCCTTACAGAGTGACACAGATTTTAGGAACTTTTAGCTCTTCAAACCTAGCATAGCGTATATAGCTAACTATTAGATTGGTATTTAAGCATATCTCAGACTTTACCTGAGTTAAGTATTATTCACCTCTTAATAGTCTCCTGAAAACAGAAAATAAAAAAATCTCCAATTCAAGGAAGAATCCTCTCCCCACAGATTTTTGTGTAATTGAATTGATTTTAATGTCTAGTGTGTAGACTTTCTGCATTAATCTTATTAAGTTGAGGGGATATTAAAAACTATTGTGCAATGGATATTAATTCATTACTTAGTACCCTTTGGAAAAACAGTTTACTTTTATGACTATTTCTCTGCTAGGTCTCTCTATTTCTTTCTCCAGAGATTCCAAATCCAATTAAATGTGACTAGAAGTAATTCCAAATTGTCACGTTAGCCAATTAAACATATAATAATCCTGTGTACCTAATCACTAGTACCAAAAGTTTATTTACTTAAGTAGAGCTATGACTGTGTACCCCTGAATGTTTTTCTTATCTTTGCCTGCAGATATGTGTAGTTTCTTGACATCATTGTAAATTGAATTAGAAAATTTCCTTTTCTAAATATAAGTTGTATAAGTCATAGCAGTTATAAACTTACTCTGTTGAAATAATTTAAATGTTTAGATTCTTCTTCAGGACAGACAAAAATTAGGACTCTAAAAAATCAATGGTGGAAACAAATACCACCAACTGGAGGATTATTCAGCTCTCTCTCTCTCTCTCCCTCTCTCTCTCTCTCTCTCTCTCTATATATATATATAAACACAGGTAGTATTGGAAAGAAGCTGCCCACTGACATTTCAAAATAAATGACAGTAATTTAAGAATAGCTAATTTAAGAATCCTTTTATATTTTTCAAAGCTCTTAATGATAAGGTAAAGAGAGGTAGGAGGTTTTGATGTTGTGTGAATATGAATGGGACAGAAACAAGTTATAAAAATCATAGATTGTAGAGGGACAAAAGTGCATTTCAAATGTTTGCATTTTGATAGAAGCACATGGAAACATTTTCTTTTCATAACAACCTAAAAAGAAAGTTTACTCGACATGGAGGTGCCTGTTATTTAATAGAAATTCATTTAATAAATTCTGAATTTAAGAAATCGATGGAAAATATAGAAATTTTACTTTCAAGGACAACACGCCCTATATTTATAGGAGTTGGGTACACTTAGGTGACAATTTGGTCTGCACTCTGATTGCTTCTACCATTAACATTTGGATTTACAAATATGGTTCAACAAACATTGCTTAAGAAGTATACCAGCCATTAGTTAAATCAAGGGTGGGCAAACTTTTCCTGTAAAGGGTCGATAGTAACTATTTTAAGTTTTGTGGGCCATGTGGTTTAACAACTACTCAACTTTGCTTTGCAGAAGCAGCTATAGACAATACATAAACCAATTAGCGTGGCTGTCTTCCAATAAGATTTTATTTACAAAAAACAGATTGGGTTAGTTTAACTCTAAAATAAGAAAATTAGTAGGTTGATCAAGCCATGGTGGGCATTTATATAATTGTCAATCAATAGTCTGATGCTGGCCGGGCGCGTTGGCTCATGCCTGTAATCCCAGCACTTTGGGAGGCCGAGGTCGGCGGATCATGAGGTCAGGAGATCGAGACCATCCTGGCTAACACGGTGAAACCCCATCTCTACTAAAAATACAAAAAATTAGCCACGTGTGGCGGCGGGCGCCTGTAGTCCCAGCTACTCGGGAGGCTGAGGCAGGAGGATGCCGTGAACCCAGGAGGCGGAGCTTGCAGTGAGCCGAGATCGCGCCACTGCACTCCAGCCTGGGCAACAGAGCAAGACTCTGTCTCAAAAAAAGAAAAAAAAAAATAGTCCAATGCCAGTGTGTACATATTCCAGCCACAGTGCCCCTTGGATATTTCAATCTGCTATTTTCTCTTCAAGGGACAACATAACATGCACTAATATTACTGAGCAGAGTCCAGTAACTAAACTTGACAACTTGAAACATGCAAAAAATGTAAAAGATAATTCTGGATCATAGACACAGTGGCTTGAGTCAAGTAAAAGCTAAATTGATAAGAATTTTTATAATGTTAGTTATTGTCATTTTTGGATTACGACTATTGTGAAAGAGAAGGAGGTAGATCACCCCAGTGGGTTTCTAAGGCTTTCCTGATTTTTTAATGCTTTTGGTAATTTGGTTTTGTGTTCACCATTGTAAAATTAGAATTTTTAGCGCTTTTATTAATGTTATGCCAAAGTTGCTTTTTCTGTAATAATATATTGTCGCATTGTTTGCTACATTCTTAAGTGTGCTTTTTCACCTGGGGGCTCAAGTCTTTTTTTTAAAGGAACACAGCTCTCCAAATTGATATTGAAACCATGAAGAATTAAGATGCATTGAAATTCCTTACCTGCCATACCTCAGTGAAGCATAAGTATTATAAGAGCAAAAGGATATTAAAATTAAATAACAAAAAATGATTTCCTAAAGCTCCATATTAGCTGAGATATATTTCATAAGTATGATGTATTTCTTTCGATACCTGGCATGTATTCATAGAGGTGTGTTCATGTTTGGAACACAATTCAGATTGTAGTTGCTCCAAGCCCCTTTTTCTTCCCAGTGGAAATGGCAGCTGTGCTTTTACTACCTGCCTTCCTTTGTCTGGTTCTCTATTGTAACTCTGCCCTACTGCTCAGCCCTCATGAATCAGTGAAACTTAGTGAAATGATATGAAAAGTGCATGGAAATAACATTATGTCATGCAATATTTGTGAGGGAAGAGCCATGGGCTTTTCATCGTGCTGAATTTATAAAAGGCAAGATAATTAATTGATCAACCCATTGAGCATCCATAAGGAGTCAAGTACCATGTGAGATCCTGGTTCCGGCAGACTCATCCCATGAATCAAATGTAAACAGTAACCCATCATTCTTTCTATTCTCCTTCAGGTATCTCTCTACCATTAGAACAATATCTAGGTGCTAGTCAATGTGATTCAATGTTGCTTCCGACTATTTTCATTTCATTGTCATGATTCTGTTCATCTTATTTTCATTAATGTACTGAATGTTGTACCTGCAATGGAGCTATAAGATCATGTTAGGCAAACCCTTTTAACTGACGATCGGCGGCTTAACATCTGCTAATTTTGAGCCTTTATGAAGTGATAAGCACCATGTTAAGCACTTTATGGAGCAGAGTGTAAACCTGACCCACCCACTTCTGCACTAGATCTCATCCAATCGCGCCTAATCATGGAAACTGCTCCGCCAAGTATCTCACTCTTCTAGTTTCTTTTCTCTCTTTCCATTTCTCATTTTCTCCTGGAGCTTTTCTGCCAGCATACACAAATGCTGTTGTTTCTTCCTTTTAAAAACAAAACAAAATACCCCAAAAGCTTCTCTTGCTCCATGTCCTCCATTCCAATTATCACCTGAATTCTTCCCTTCACTATTAAAAAGCAAACTGGAAAACCTCGCACTCTTGAAAAAGCCGTGTGCATTCTCTACTTCTAATTTTTCTCTTCCTGTTGTCTCTGCGACTCATTCCAGCAGGGCTATCATTCCCACCACGTCACTGAAACTGCTCTTGTCAGTACCACTAATAGTTTCCGTATTGCCTAATGTAATGGTTCAATTTTCAGTCTTCATTTTCTATACATTCTCAGGCGCAAGTCATACAATAGCTCATGCTGTCATCTAGTGTACACTCTCCCACTTGGCTTCCACTGTGCCATTATTTCTGGTTTTCCTCCTATCTTTCTCGTTGCTGTTTTCATCCTCCCTTGCAGTTATCTTCCCAGCATTATCATCTGGTCCATAATCTCTCACCTGGATTACTGCAACGGCCTCCAAACTGGGCTCCCTGCTTCTCCATCGGTTTATTCTCAACACAATAGTCAGAGTGATCCCATTAAAATTAGGATGCTAGAGCAGGTCACTCCTGTGCTTAAAACTGCAAAGCTTCCTGTCTCTCTCAGAGTGAAAAACTAACCTCTTTATAGTGGCGTTTAAGTCCTATATCATCTGGACACATGTTGCTTCTCTGACCTCATTTTCAACTACCTTCTTAGCTCACTCTGCTCCTGACAGGGTCCATCCTGCTGTCCCTCACAAAGAATGGCCATACTGTTGCTTCTGGGATTTTGCACATGACAGTCCTTCTCCTGAAATGCTCTTTCCCTAGACATTCTTATGACTCTCTTGCTCACCTCCTTCGGTCTTTGTATGTGTCATTTTCTCAGTGAGAACTACCCTGACCAGATTCCAACACTATCCATACCCTCACTTGTACTTTTTCCATACTACTTATCACCATTCAACATAAAGTTTATTTTGTTTGTATTAGTTTTGGTGGTGTTTATTGCTGTCTTCCCTTACTGCAGGGTCAGCATATTATGGTCTGTGGGTCCCATCTGGTCTGCTCCCTGTGTTTATAAATAACGTGTTAACGGAACACAGCAATGCTCATTCATTTGTGCACTGCTTACACACTGTCTATGACTGCTTTTGTGCAACAATGGCAGAGGTGAGCAGTTACAAAGAAATCCTATGTTTCACAAAGCCAAAAATACTCACTATCTGGCTCTACTGGAATATAAGGTCCCCAAGGGCAGAGATTTTTGTCTGTTTTATTCACTGCTGTATCCCCTGTGCCTAGAATGGTGCCTGGCATGGTAGTCACACAATAAATATTTGTTGAATTAACAACTACACATTATCTTATTTATTTATATAAATTCAAAAAAATAAATTCGATGTTACAAAGAGCCTGAGACTAACAGAATTACATAGCTTACTAGGATTCTAGCAGAAGCAGTCTGGCCTTAGAGCTATCTCACTGTCCATATTTAAGAGAATGCTTTTGTAGTGAAAGTGGCATGGTAATGGAGTGACAGAATGGGCTTTGTCAGTCTAATTTGTCCAATGCAAAATTTAGCTCATATGAGAGCTTAATGAATGCTAATGGATGCTGATGTATTTATGGCATAAATTGAAGAGGAAAGGTATTGGGAAACACATTGGCCTAATGTGTTGTATCTAAAATTATTTTTTACATGATGCCTTCAGTCATATGTCAGCAGTTATTGCTTCCCTGCAAGGAAATGTTCACATTTTGTTTACTTAATACATATGTTAAGTATAAAAGGGCCAGAATCTGGTTTTTAAGTATCTACACATATAAAATAAAATGTTTTTTATGTTATGAACTCAGCTTATTGTGAATCAAATTTTGTTCCTATAGAATGGCAAATGCACAATAAAATAATGTGACATGTTATTATTCATCAAATAGGTACCAGTTTTATTTTCCAGTTTTATTTATTTATTTGTAATTAATATCACAAAAGGATTATGAGTACAAGCACATTTATGTTAGGTGCTTTTACAGATTGGATATTTCTAAGACTGTGCAATTCTAAGAGTATGAGAAAATACTACTGACATTTCTCAAGGCCTATGTTCAGATTCAAAATTTATAACATTTCTACTCAGTGTGGCCACATGGTGGTGTAAAACAATAAGATATGGGTAAACAAAAAAAAATCACAGCACACAATCAGCTGTGTGGTCTCATTGGGCTGACTGGCTGAGACCTTGAAAAGTCATTCCGTTCATCACCTTGCCTTTAGGCAGGATCACACTTAAACCTTTCAAATGAGACTGATGAGAATCTATTCCGTTTTAAAGACCTCCACAGAAGGACATTGCTCTGCTCTCCTCACTGATTCCAGAGTTTCAGAGCCATAAATAGCATCTTCTGCAGTTTTAGTCTGCTGGCTTTAGTTCTCTCTCCAGTGTTAATGCAACCCAACTACACCGTATTCTCTGAATAGAAGTCTAAATATCCTCACAATAATTTATTAATCTTCTTTTCCCTATGTTAATTAATTAACCCCAGTTGCTTCCATCTTTCTCCAAGTGACCTCTCTTTTTTTTTTTTTGCCATGAGTCAGTTTTGTGGTTGCTTTTCCAATTTATTTAAGTTTCTCCTTTTCTTCCTTCTACAATTGGAAAATGAACTCTCTCAAGAGTCTATGAATAATCTGTGATCTTTATATGCACCTATTTCATGTATGTAATTGTATAGGTACTTCTTAGAGGTATGTGTATGAGATCTAACTACAGAATTCTTTTGTATTATTGATATGTTTAGGAGGTTGTTTCCTTTCTCCTATACTTAAAAAAGCTCAAGAACATATGTATATACGTTGTTAATTTTAGATAAATTAATATTGTTGCAGAGTGTATTTTTCTTTTGACTATAAATACACACTAATATTAAAGATGATGTTCTTATGGGGAGAAGAGTGGAACTAGTAAATTCATTCAAGCCAACACACACACACAAACACACACACTCACACACACACACACAAAGCATCTTTATCTAGGCTCACATATTTTCCACACAGCAGCCAGTCACAATGTTCTTTCCAAAAACGTAAAGGAAAATTATCTCAAAACCCAACCTCCTATGGTAGCCTACAATTCTTAACAGGCTGTTTTCCTCTTCAACACATTTTCCATAACCCTCCAGTCAAGGCCCCACCCCCACCCCCTGGCCCCGCCCTGCTATTCCTAAACCAGAACCTTGTCCTTTTTCTAAATAAGCTTCACATTTTGTCATTACCTGTGTTTACTTGCTTATTGCCTCCTTTCTCTAGTCCTGTGCTGTCCAATATGGGAACAACTAGCCATCTGTGGTTATTTATATTTAAATGAATTAAAATTAAAATTTTTAATTTAGTTTCTTGGGTACACAAGCACATTTCAGGTGCTCGGTAGCCCCATGTGGCTAGTGGATACCATCCTCAATGGCACAGGATATCTTCATCATCTCTGGAAGTTCTATCTGACGACGCTGATCTAGACTGTAAGCTACAGGAGCCTACCATTACAGTGCCTCCTACAACATCTGGTAATAGTTGTTGCTCAGTAAATTTTTAATAAACACTTTGCCTATTTAAGTGATCAGTAATTCATATCTGCTGTGTTTGGGCTTTCCTTCGGTTATCCATCTTCCTTCCCCCTTACTGCCTGCCCCTAGTCATTTGACAATCATTCATAAGGAGACTCAGCTTTGATAATGCTCTGGGTTCAGGAGTTTCAGTAGTTGGTGGTCACTGAAGAAGTTTTTCGGTCTCTGGACTTTTGTAACAAGCCTTCTTCTATGCCTAATTGCCTGATTCTAATATCTGGAATTTTTTCCTGAGACTGAGTCTCTACCTATTGCAGCCCAAATCAAGTTTATAGGTTCCTGCCTTGATTATAATTCCAGATTCTGATGATTATTGGAGTTCTAGCCATGCTCCTGCAAGACTATCAAGTAATTGATGGGAATTTTTCTTGAGGTTTACTGCCTTCCTGCTAGTCTGAAATTTCAAATATTGCCTGTTCCTAGATTCTCAATTGGTAACAACAAAAAACAACGGTACTACTACTGCTATTTGTAACAGCAGCTGATATTTACTGAGAGCTTATCATGTACATAGCAAGTGCTTTTACATCTCATTTAATTCCTAAAATCAAGCTATAACTTGAAGAAGCTGAGGTTTAAGGAAGTTAATTTTCCAAAAAGTAGATGGCAGAGTTAGGATTCAACTAGATATATGGGACGCCTGAGGCTAATTTCATGTCAAGCTGTTGACTGTTGGTGTCCTCTCTAAAAACTATATTCACTGTGGTTGATTCAACTGTGTGTAATGCTATTGCCTGGTGATGCCTGGTCCTCCTCCCTTATCCCCCATGCATGCTTGTCTCACTAGCAGACATGTCCTATTCTTAGTTCTGGCTTATTAATATGACATGGTCAATTTTTTCTTTTCTGGCTGTGTCAAGAGAGGTGTTATTAAATCTATAGCAAATATATGCCTGATTGAAGAGGAATGGATAAATAGAACTCATTTCAGATATTTTTATGAAGTTTTGTTTTATTTTTGATTTCTTTTTCTGTGTGGAGCCCAAAAATCAGCAAATGTTTCTTGTTTTATTATAATAGGCAAGATTTGGAGTCATGGCAACATGCAGAAGTATGAAGACATGATGCCGATCTCTATGAGCTTCCAATTGGGCTATCAATATGACATCCATATTTAGCATATTTGACATGCCAAAATATCAGGCATTTTATATCCACAAAGAACCTTGCAAATGTTAAGTACCTTATGTTAACTAAGAAGTACAGATCATAAGTGCTATAGAATTTTAAAGAGGAAAACGATTACTTTTTTACTGTAATGGAATTTTCAGTGCTGAGACCTGAAGAATGGCTAGCATTATTTTTAAATAGTAATGAAGAAAAGGTAGCAGGTTTTTTATTTGGTTGGGGAGCAGGGACATATCACATGCTAGGGAATTGAAAGTAGAGGTATTAATGCAGAATCTCAGGAGAAGCAGAGGGTTTGTGTAGAGGAAGAAAGGGGGGAAACGCTAGAAAATTATGTTAGGGACAGATTATGATAAACCTTGGATTTCAGGCAGATGAATTTAAACTTTATTCTATAGATGCAAGGGACAATTGAAGAGTTTTTGGAGGGAGGTAGCATGGGAACTTCTGGTTTAAAAATCTCAGCCATTGCTAGTCTGGATTTAATAATGGAAAGGAGGTCTTACCTGGCCACAACCTGCCAGGCTTGTGTTTAATAGGGACAGTGATACTCTCTGGCTATATTGGGAACAATCCAGGGTTATCTGTATTTTGCTTTTTAGGTATGGGTTTGTAAGTGGTGTCTTTAATGTCTGGACCCCATTTGCTGTCTGGAATGAAGAAGATTGTCTTACCATGTTCATAGCTAAGTGCTCAGTAAATATTGATTGGCTGCTGTTACAAATAGTAATAGTAGTATTACTGTTGTTGTTTGTTGTTGGGTCCTGATAGGGCCATATGGATCTAGGAAGAGATGTAAATACATATGAGTACTGGACTTGTATTTGCATATTTCATGAGTTTCTCTGTTCCACAAAGATGAGGATACTAAGACGAGTCAGCCATTCCTATCATTAAGGTCTAATGAGGGAGGAAATATAATTATATAACAATAAGTAAAGTGGATAAATCAATATATGTACTAATGCAGCTGAGAGGGTTGGTGGTATTCAGGGAGGGGCACCTAGGTCAGCTTAAAATGATGAGTAGGAGTTAGCCAAGCAAAGGGAGCATAAGCCCGAGAAGGGCATTCTAGGCTTAGCACACAGCTTGAACACAGGTGCAGAGGTTAGAAGCAGGAGGAAGAGCAGGAAACTCCAAAAGTACTATCTTGCTGCATTTTGAGCAGGGGGGGGAATGCAGAGGAAAGGCATGAAGAAGCCTGGATTTCATCCTGTGGGTAATGGGGAGCTGTTGTACGGTTTTAAATAGAAAGTGGCAAGGGCAGTTCTGTGGTTGAGAGAGAGAACCTTGATAACACTTTAGAGGATGTATTTGAGTGAGAAGACTGGAGGTGGGAGGTGATTGCAGGAATTCTGGGGGACAGCAGACAAGTCTAAACTAGGGCAGTGACTATAAGAAAATAGGAAATTGAGATAATGACACCATTCTTAAGGACAAAGTCAACTAACAAGGAATGTGAGAAGACATTTATGACCTTAAATATGGTACATTCCAGGCCCTGTGTGATTTAGTCTCAGACTAGGGTGGGCTTTCATAGAGGAAGAGGCATTGAAGAAGTTATTGTTCCTATTAATAGTCCTATTAATCTTTTGAGGAAAGGAAAACCTAAAACTGACTTCTTTCCTTTTCCAGATGAATGAACTAATATCTGATGCTCAAGGAAACCATAAATGATAAAAGGATAATGGGCTCGGCCTGAAGCCAACCGTGTAACTCTTTGGTAGAGACTCACTGGTAATCACAGGCCAGCAGTCAAATAATCTGTTGCTCTGATTCTCTGGAGTGTTGATGGTGCCTGGTAAACCTTAGAGAAGCTTCCTTCGCACTCATTTTTCAAGAGCTCCTCCTGGAGCATCCCCACAGGGAATTTTCCTACCAGTGACCTGTCTCCTGTCCCACCATATCCCGGGTCACTCTCCCATGATGGACAGTCAAGCATCAGTTCTTGGAACATTTCCCTACCAGCAGAGGGAACCCTCACCTTCAGGTATGCATGGAAATCTGGAATGTATGGTTCTTCAATCTTGAACATGGATCCTGAAATTTTATTTAACGTTTTGTGGGATCAAAGGAAAGGAAACAATTAGGAAAAACTGAAAAATGTCATATTAGGTCATGCTGAAAGGGGACAAAAGCTAGAGGAGAGTCTGGCTGTACAAAAATAGGCAATCCTGAATTTAACTTCGCTTTCAGTTCTTCACAGCAGCAGTTTCTGGAGCCAATATAAAATGTAAAGCAGTTGGAAATAAGAGTACTTAGAGCAGAAAATAAACCCATTCACAGCAGAGAAACAGCTTACAGAGAAAGTAGCCAGAACTAACTGTCTTGTTACTCTCTAGAAGTAAAGAAATCAAAGCACAATCTCAAGCCTTGTAGCAAGTCAAGGGGTGTGCTTCGCATTCCATCTCCTGATCTCTGCTTGGGTAGGAAAAAAATCCCTCAGAATATATAGAGATTATACAGCCTGATAAAATATCCTGATTATTTAGCAAATAGTGCAACTCAACCACAGTCATAAACTCAGATGCCTATTTCTCAAGAGCCTGAGACCTGTAGGCAAAGAGGGAGAGAGTGAGGAAAACAGTTATTAGCCAGAATAGGCAGGCCCTGATATGGTAAACTGATTATTTGAAACTTGGAGCCCATTTTCTAATAGAACCAAAGTATCTTATACACTGTGGTGAGGTTGTCAAGGCAGCCTACAAACATCTGTTTTAAACCAAAGTTTACTGAAATGATACACATTTATCAGTTATGCAATGTTTTGCCAATGAAATAAAACTAAATAAAAGGGTAAAGTGACGTAAAACATCTGAATATTTAAGCTGAGTAGAATCAGGTTTCCTTTTCGGTGTTTCTCAACTGCAGTCACTCTTGTAAATTTTAGGTAGCTATACTGTGTAGTACGTGGGCTGTCCTGTGTATTGCAAGAAGCTCTGTACCTCTAGGCGCCTCCTCAATATGCCAATCGTGCTTGTCAGTTACTTTGGCCACCCAAATACCCTCACTCACTTTCCAAGAGATGGGGAGAGGCTGAGATCCACTCAGAGATGTTCATGGAGATTCTGGGGAGGAGGCACCTTAAAGGTTGATGGAACAGATGCTTAATATTTTGAAGTTGAATTTTACTTTATAACACTTTAATTTTTTGGGATGGAGTTTCACTCATATCACCTAGGTGCAATGGTGTGATCTTGGCTCACTGCAACCTCCGCCTCCCTGGTTCAAGTGATTCTCCTGCCTCAGCCTCCCGAGTAGCTGAGATTACAAGTGCCCACCATCACGTCCAGCTAATTTTCTGTATTTTTAGTAGAGACGGGGTTTCACCATGTTGGCCAGGCTGGTCTCGAACTCCTGACCCCAGGTGATCCACCTGGCTCCGCTTCCCAAAGTGCTGAGATTATAGGTGTGCACTCTTCCAAGAGAGTGGAGAGCTGTAAGATAATATATAAACATGTGCTAATTTTTATGAGTTACATCTATTCAGAGCAGACATTAGGCAGAATTATGATGTGCTTAAACTTGCTTTCAGCACTTTTCTAGACCCCTTTGGATAGTCCATATCTCTGCTCTGGAATCTTCTTTCTTTCCAATGTGTTCTGCTTGTACTAAAATCTTCCACTGTGAAACCCACCTAGGCCTGGTCCCTCAGGACAGTATTATAGGATTCAACCTTTCCCTCTCTCAAAATATCCATCCAAGTGTATCCATTCTGTATCTAATTTTTTCAAGTACACAGTTTATCTAGAGATAAGTAGGTAATTTCAGGGACATCAAAACATATTCTGGCTCACAAATCTTTCCATCAATGACTTAAAGTGCCATAAAATGACAGTTACTTCTTTAGGTTGAGATATTAAGTGGTATTGCACATTCGTGTTTCATTGGAAGGTGAAGGCATTATTTCTCATTAATAATTTTGAATAAATTATTTTTCATCAGAGTAACAGAGAGACAATATGGCACAGAGGTTGAAAACTCTGACTTGGGAGCTAGACAGCGTTTGTTTGAATCTCAATCCTGTTATTTGCTGGCTGTGTGACTTTGGACAAGTTACTTAACCTATCTGTGCCTCAGTTTCATCATAGTACAATGCGGATAATAATAGTTGCCAACCTCATGGAGTTGTCAGAAGGAGTAAATGCCCTGTTAAATGTAGTGCATATTAGCAGTGCCTGATACTTGGGAAGCACTCAGTAAGTGGTAGCTTCCCAGTTAGTATTCTGCCCAGGTCTTAACACTGATAGTTTGGAAAATAAAATACACATTGATTTCTTGAAAAGTTTATACCCCAATAGGCTTATTTAGACTGCTTGGAAAGGGTATTGATTATCTCATTGTTATTAAAATTTTTTCTTGTGCTTGCAAAACTTATAGAAGCTTACAACTAATATAGGTAGTGTAGGTTTGTGAGTCCACAGTGAGAATGCCATTTCTTTGGTGCAGCCCTCTTTAACCCTTATTACAGTTAACCCTTGAATATTCTTGTTTTCTACCCTGTCATAGCACTTTGCTTATGTCATCTCTTAGAGCCCTCTAAGTCTCCCTTTTAAATTAGCTATTGGTATTCTTTAAAGGCATCTACAGTAGAAAGTAATTTTCTGGAGGTCAGGGATCATGTCTTACTTATTATGAATTCACCAGAGTGAATTGCACAGTGCAGGCACATGCCATGTGATTCTTAATGAATGAATGAATAATTGTAAGCTCCATAAGGGCAGGCATTTTTGAAGTTTTGCTCATTGCCATCTATATCAGCAAGTATCTAGAATGGTGATTGGGACATAGTAAGTGAATAAATATTTGCTAAGTGATTTTGTTAAGTGAAGGGAGGCACAGATGTGCTGTTGAAGTTAAAATGGGATTCTATATATTAAACCAACATTTTCACTGATTACATTAAACATTTTGAGATATATTCCTCCAGAAAAAAATTTGCACTGGGGAAACCAACTATAATACATAAACTAGTACATTTACTTGCTCCTTTGGAAATATTTCTCTGAGGTAGGGGAGGATAGCAATGGTCAGTATTCATAAGCTATATTCTCCTATCTCTAGCCATAGGTACCACTTCATTCATTCAACCAAAAGCTATTGACCTCTTGCTTCATGAAGGGCACTCTGGCTGATGATGGGTCACATGAGACAGGAAGGATATGAAAAGATGTTGATCACAGACTTTATGTCTGAGTACCTGGAATAAAGTGTTATGCTCTTGCCAATTGTGAGTAAAGTGTGATGTTCTTAACTAGTCCACTTCTAAGAGAAAATGCCTTGCTCATATCTCTCATGAAGAAGCAGGTCTAGGTGAACTCATTCCCCTTTTCTGTTTGGACCAGGGTGACAGTCAAGTTTTAGAGATCAATGAAATCATCTAGTCCAAAAATCTTGGTCAAACCATGCTTGACTAGCAATAAAAATGTATGAACTAAGAGATTTAAAGGAAAATCAGTGAGCAGCAGCAGGAGAAGGGCAAAAGAAAACAAAGGGCAGAGGAAAACAAACCTCCATTCTCTTGTCATGACTGTGATGCCCACACTCTTGATCCCATGCTAGGGGTGACCATACACCTAGGTTTTCCCAAGATAGTCCTAGTCCATCCTTGATGTCCTAGGGTAATTAGGCCCCTTTCACTGAAAGGGGTTTAGATGTCACGGTTTCAATGATAAATTATGTGAACGCCTATTGTTCTCTCAGGGGAGATATTTCAGAGTGTGTATGCATGTTGCACAGCCAGCCTCCATGGTTAAATATACCTGTTTAGTACTCTATGAAGAGAACAATATATCCTTTCTCTACTAGGATTGTAAGCTCTTCAAGGGCAGAAATCTCATTTTCTTCTTTTCCTATTCCTTCTTCCTAGCAAGAGCTGATTATATAATAGGCTGCAATAAATTCTTACTAAACTCTATTGAACTTTTCCCCTAAGAGTCTACAGAAAAAAATGCGTATACATGCACACCTTTTTTCTTCCTATGAGATATATATTTTCTTAGAGATAACATGTATTTATCTGCAGCCAGCTGAACTGCTGGATGGCTTTCTTATAGAATTTATCTGATGCAATCCATAGCAACCTTGATTTTTACGCTGAAATTGTGCTTTCCAAACTCATATTTTCTAGCTTTTAATTTATACATTTAAACCAGAAAACGGGTTAATAAACACTTAGATGCATTTCACTGCTTCACAGATTATGCAACACACACAAGAACACTGATAACAGAAAGGAAAGTTTCTATACACAGTTCCTTAGGTAAAAAGGGGACACAAGCAAGGCTGAAGAAAAAAACAACAGGGAGCCAGATATGGTGAACAGCATAGGCAAAGTTATGGAGTTGGGAAGTGGAATGCTATGTGTATTGAAAGCAAACAGTTTTTTATTTATCAAGTGTTCACTATATGTGTTTATAGTATTTATATTACTTGGGCTTCAGAGACAGAATACATGGGAGAACTGAGAAACTGAATTCTTTTACCACAGTTGTTGAATTTACAGGGTAGTCTCGCCTTTCCTCTCCTTAGAAGTTTTGCACCCTTGAACTAGTTAATGGTATGGGCGTTAGGAAAATTCTGCATTCCTTTTGTGGCACAGTACAATACTCATTTGTTTCTTTTGAGGTTTGCTTGAAGGGGGGTAATGCAGGCAGATGATGCTCTTTTTTCTTCTATTTAAAAAACCACAGCTTGCATGACATTTGTCTTTTTAAAAATTGTTTTTTTAATTTTGCAAATGTGCCCAGAGGCATTAAGTAATGGTAGCATATTTATAAATTAAAATATAAATAAGTAATTTTGGAAAGCAATAACAGCTGGGAAGTATTTTTTCATGTGAGTTGCTTTTAAGGAAAGCAATAAACAGTTTTTTTGGGGGGAGTGAAGAAAGAAACCATACCAGTTCACAGAGGAGTAGACAGTGCAACAAGAGCTTCTTAACAAAATTCCAAATTTTATGAGGACTTGAAAGAGAAAAAGCACATCCCTTAAAGGAAGGTAGGGGACTCTAGGGTGTGTGTGTTGGCTTGGTGGGGAGGATTGAGGGCAAGGGGAAAGGGTTAAATACAAGAAAAAAATATTCATGACGCAGGCATGATGACTCTGCTTCTTACTGAGTTTATATAATCCACTTGATCCTGGGTAGAAGGGAGTTGATGGTGACCCTGTTAATGTACTTCTGAGCAGCTACTACTGCCCTGGGCATGATCAAAGATGAACATCAGAAGACTCAAGGCCCTGCCCAAATGGGATCCATTTTCGCTCTTCCTGATTTAGGAAAGGACTCCTCCCATCAAAGGGTTGGAGCTTGCACCCCTGAGAGACAATGCTGTGCTCTGGGAATAAGTGAAGATTTAGGAATTTACTGCCATGGCCAGGATTTTACAGAATTTATTTGAGGAAAGCAAAGTCTTTTACAGAAATCACTTGATAGAGGCAATTCAAAGACAATCTTTTGAGCAATTACACCTAAAATACAACAAACCCAGAAAAAGAATGTTTTGGAATCCCTACGAGAGTATCCAGACTACACTATTAGAGAGAGAATTCTCTTATCCCCCAGTGGTTGGGGCTTATCCCCAGTTCCTTGGCGAGGGATCCAGAGGCTGAAGATTGATCCCAAAACTGAGTGAACAGAAAGGTTACATTATGCAGGTTTAAAATCCAACCTTTGTTGGATTTTAAAATATTAGTGAAAAAAAAAAGAGAGAAAATGAAAATTAAATAGTGGCAAGTGACAGCTTGCCATTCTATTCAATAAGGTTAAGCTCACAGGCAATGGATGGAATCAGTCAAATCATCAATAATCAAATTTGAAACCTATTTTTAAAAATGTTTTTAAAATATGAGAAAGATGTAAGGGTTTCCTTGATCAATGGCAAATAAATCAAACATCTTGTGGGCAAGTGGGTGGTCCTCTAAGCCTTCCAGGAAAAAAAGTAGTAATTAATTGAGGGCCAAGGAAGAGTTTGTTGGACAGATAAAGTCATCTGTGAAAGACGGAATGATGATGATGAACAGCAAGAGCCAACAGGATAGAATCTGCATTACTTTGCTGAAGTATTCCAAGCAGAGAAATCCTTGAGTGACAGCTTCTGATTATAATCTTCCTGTGGCATAATTACAATAAATATTAAATGTTTATGTGAGCATATTTGTGTATAGGTTGTATACACAAAACAACACACATAGCAGCAGATGATACAAAAAACTTCTAAGGGTATTTCTGACATTACCTCTTTGCTTTTCTTCTCTTTCCCCCTCCCCCGCTTAAGATGCTAACCTCTTTGTACCATGCTGTTCTGCTCTATTCTTGTCTGGAATGCATGTTAGCTGGCCACCAGGAATCCCAGAAGACAGTTGGGGGGACTGAAGTCTTGTATTATTCTGGTGGGGATATAAGCTAGAATATTAACTTGTTGCAGTTCTTGTGATTTAATTTGTGTTCACATGTTAATAAGGCTTAGGGAAATTCAAGTCATGGAAGACATAGAGTAAAAGCCATAAACTTTTCATTACAGAGTCTGGGTCACATCATTCCCAATACTTTTGTTGACTTTTATAAAGGTCTGGAATAAGGAGCTCCCCTTTTATTATGTATTTTAATACACAGACACCTGTTCTAAGAAAATCTTACCTACTTTAGAATTAGATTCAAGATTTAGATACCAAGAGTATGTGACTCCTGGTAGGGAGCCCCCTTTGGAAGAAGAAACTCTTGGTGAATCAGTCAGTTCTAAACTCTCAAGAAACCCATGCTATTTTAAGTTCAATTAGCATTCACGGAATATCCACTAGTAGCTGTATAGGCAAGGCATAGAGATAGATAGCACAAAAAAAGAGGCGTTAATTCTACTGGGAGAAAGCAGAATCAGAGAAACCAGGGCAGATAGGTCCTGAGAAGGGCTTCAGAGGTGACCAAAGAGGAAAAAGCTATTTTGAGCACAGAAGATGGCATAGGCAAATGTGTGGAAGCATAAAATAACATGCTGTGCTTGGGGGGTATTTCAGTACTGAAATCTGTGTGTGTGTATGTGTGTGTGTGTGCACACGCACGTGATGGGAAAGGAGGCCAGAGTGACAAACAGGGTCTTAATTATAAGATAATTTTTAATTTTTTCTGGCCAGGAATTATTTTGTAGATTATGGAGAGCCATTTAAGGTAATTAATCTGGAAAGAGATGTGTTCAAATTTGTACTGCAAATAAAGCATACTGCACATACAGTTAACTTGCTTTAATAAATTAACAATATGGTGTGAATATATTCCACATTAGTAAATATTCATTTGTAGCATTAATTAAAATCTTTGCATTGTATTCTGTGGGCATTTTAACTTTTTAATTAATTAATCCCTTATGTTAGGCAGTTAGAATACTTGAGAGTTAAGTTTTTGAGACCAGTAAAAATTTAAGTTTAGAACATGTTTTGCTTGAAATGCCTGTAATACAGCCAAATGGGGGTGCTTGAATATTCAGATGGTGCTTGAATATAAAAGGTGGAGCTTGAGGGGAAAGATCTGAGAATGTAGACATAAATATGGGAATCATTAGTATATTGATTACTTAAAGTCAGAAGGGGATACTTAATGGACAAGGAAAAGAAAATGTGCAATTCTTTTTTAAAAAAGTAAAGGGGATAGAACCTTTGGAAATACTGTTTTTAGGCAGTGAGTTGAGTAATAAGAGATTGGGAAAGAAAAATCAGGGGGATGGGGTAAAATCTGAAGAGTATGATGTAGGAGGATCCAGAGGAAAAGAGAGAGTTGATTCCTATAACAACTTTTGGAGAAGTGAGACTAGGTAATACTATTATTATTATCTACTTTCCACAAAGGCTAGATGTCTTCTTGGGGCTAATACAATTGTAAACATTAAAACTGGATTGCTAATCCTGATCTTCTAGCTTCAATTCTAACAGAACTGGATTTTATGATTCAGGTAATTAAAGAAAGAGAGTATAAAAGAATAGCAGGATAAGCTTCAGAAGCTAAAATTAAGTTGGAATCTGTAGGAGATATAACGTATAGAAAAAGAACATGTTCTTAAATTAAAGCAGGCAAAGAAGGATATCCCAAAATAGGCTAGGAGAGAAAGCTGATAAAAATGTCTTGAAATGTTAAGTCTTGGCTTTCAAATTTGAGAATATGGTGGATAAGATAATCAGAGAAACCCTACCCAGTAGAACTGATACTCTTAAACATAATGGACTGAAAACAAACATAACAAACAAGCTATTTTAAACAACAACTTTTTTTTACTTTGAAAGAATTTTAAATACATAGAAAAGTTACAAAACAGTACATTAACGTATACTCTTTCACCCAGCTTCTCCAGCTTCATCTAACTTCAACAACTTACATAATTGTAGTACTACACAATTAACAAAACCAGGAAATTAATATGGGTGAATTAATATTAAACTATGGACTTTTTCAAATCTCACCAGGTTTTCCGTTAATGTCCTTTTTTTCTGTTCAAGTATCCAATTTAGTTACATAACCTTAGTCTCTCCAATCTTTGACATTTCCTCATTTTCCCTATCTTTCATAGCCTTAACACTTTTAATGAGTACTGACTAGTTATTACATAGAATGTCTTTCAAATTAGTTTTGCTTGATGTTTTCTCATGATAAACTACACATTTTAGGCGAGACCACCATAAAAGTGATGTTGTGTCTTCGTTGCATACTGTCAGTGGGTACGTGATGGTGATGTCTTATTACTGGTAATATTAACTTTGATTACTTAATCACTTATTATTATTACCAAATGGCAAATATGGCCAGTTGCCCAAGGTGGTATCTGCTGGGTTTCTTCACCATAAGGTTAACAGTTATTTTTTGTGATTGATAAATAATTGGAGGACATATTTTGAGACTATGTAAATACATTTTTCAAAGTTTTGCTCATTGATTTTGGCATCTACTAGTGGATGTTTTAAAAATTTTTATTTAAAAATTTACTTTAAATTAATAAGCTTTATATTTTTAGAGACACTTTAGGTTCAAAGCAAAATTGAGTGGAAAGTACAGAGTTCCCACATACTCCCTGATCTCTTCCTCAACCCACCACAACCTCCCCGACTGTCAACATCCCTCACCAGAGTGGTATATTTGTTACAATTGATGACTTATATTTACATCATCACCTAAAGTCTACAATTTACATTATAGTTCACTCTTGGTGTTATACATTCTATGGGCTTTGACAAACGTACAATGATATATATCCTTCATTGTAGTACCATATGTAATACTTTTACTCCCTAAAAATCTCTGTCTTTGCCTACTCATCCCTCCCTCCTTCCTAAGCCCTGGCAACCAGTGATCTTTTTACATATTTTGCCTTTTCCAGAATGTCATATAGTTAAAATTGTACAATAGGTAGTCTTTCAGACTGGCTTTTCTCACTTAGTAATATGCAGATGAGTTAAAAATTTTTTCATGGCTTGAGAGCTCATTTCTTTTTAGTGCCAAACAGTATTCTATTGTCTAGATGTTCCAAGAAGTTCATCTATTCACCTACTGAAGAACATCTTGGTTGCACTTATGTGTCTGCAATTATGAACAAAGCTGCTATAAATATCAGTGTGCAGGTTTTTGTGTGGACATAGTTTTCAACTCCTTTGTGTAAATACCAAGGAGAACAATTGTTGGATTCTATGGTAAGAATATGCCTTAGTTTTATAAGAAACTGTCAAACTGCCTTCCAGAGTGGCAGAGTGGCTGTACCATTTTGCATTCCCACCAGCAATGAAGCATTTGGTGTTGTCAGTGTTTTGGATTTTGACCATTTTAATAGGTGTGTAGTGGTTGGTATCTCATTATTGTTTTAATTTGCATTTCCCTGATGACATATGATGTGAGCATCTTTTCCTATGAGTACTTGCCACCTGTATATCTTCTTTGGTGAAGTGTCTGTTAAGGTCTTTGGCCTTCTTAAAATTATATTTTTTTTTACTGCTGAGTTTTAAGAGTTCTTTGTATATTTTGGATAACAGTTCTTTATCGTATGTGCCTTTTGCTAATATTTTCTCCTGGTTTGTCTCCTTTTTTATTTTCTTGACAGTGTATTTTGCAGAGCAGAAAATTTTAATTTTAATGAATTCTAGCTTATCAATTATTTCTTTCATGGATTGTGACTTCAGTGTTGTATCTAAAAAGTCATTATTATACCCAAGATTTTGTCCTATGTTATCTCCTAGGAGCTTTATAGTTTTGAATTTTACATTTAGATCTGTGATCCATTTTGAGACAATTTTTCGTAAAGGATGTAGATCTGTGTCTAGATTAATTATTTTTGCATCTGCATGTCCAGTGGTTTCAGCCCATTTGTTGAGTTGACTATCTTTGCTCCATTGTATTGCTTTGGCTCTTTCGGATTAAAGATCAGTTGACTATATTTATGTGGATCTATATCTTGATTACTGTAGCTTTATAGTAATTCTTGAAGTAAGATAATGTCGGTTCTCTGACTTTGTTCTTCCCCTTCAATACTGAGTTGACTATTCTGGGTCTTCTACCTCTCTATATATATTTTAGGGTCAATTTGTTTATATAAATGAAATAACACTGAAATTTTGATTGGGACTGTGTTGAATCTATGGATCAAGTTTGGAAGAACTGACATTCTGACAGTTTTGAGTCTTCTTATTCATGAACATGGAGTACCTCTCATTTATTCAGTTCTTTGATTTCTTTCCACAGAGTTTTGTAGTTTTTCTCATATAGATCTTGTACATAGTTTTGTTAGATTTATATCTAAGTATTTTATTTGTTTTGGCACTAATGTACATGATAACATTAATGTAATGATTTTAACTTCAAATTCCTTGATTATTGCTGGTTATAGGAAAGTGATTGATTTTCTGTATCATTGGTGTATCCTGCAATCATGGTACAATCATTTATGAGTTTCAGGAGTTTTCTGGCTGATTATTTTAGATTTTCTTCATTGATAATCATGTCATTGGCAGACAAAGACAATTTTATTTCTTTCTTACAAATGTGTATGCCTTTTATTTCCATTTCTTGTCTTATTGTATTAGCTAAGACTTCCAGTGACATATTGAAAAGCAACGGTGAGAGGTAATAGTCTTATTTTGCTTCTGATCTTAGTGAGAAAGTTTCAAGTTTCTCACCATTAAGTGCAATGTTAGCTGTAGGTTTTTTGTAGACTTTTTTTAAAAAATGAAGTTTGGGAAGTTCCTTCTTATTCCTAGTTTGCTGAGAATTTGTGTCACGAATATTTGTTGAGTTTTGTCAAATGCTTTCTCTGAATTTGTTGCTATGATTATGCGATTCTTCTTCTTTAGCCTGTTGATATGATGGATTACTTCAATTTATTTTCAAATATTGAATTATTTTTCTATACCTGGAATACATTCCACTTGATAAAGGAGTATGATTCTTTTTACGTATTATTGGATTCAATATGCTAATATTTTGTTGAAGATTTTTGTTCATAAGAGATACTGGTAGGCAATTTTTTTTTTCTTGTAATGTCTTTGTCTGGTTTTGGTATTAGGATGACGACAGCCTCATAGAATGAGTTTGGAAGTATTCCTTCTGCTTCTATCTTCTGAAAGAAATTGTGAAAAATTTGTATAATTTCTTCCTTATGTGTTTGTTAGAATTAACCAGTGAACCCATTTTGGCTGGATGCTTTCTGTTTAGGAAAGTTATTAATTAATTATTTATTTTGTTTCTTTAATACATATAGGCCTATTCAGATTGTCTATTTCTTCTTGTGTGAATTTTGGCAGATTATGTCTTTCAAGGAGTAGATTCATTTCAGTTATCAAATTTGTGGACATAGAGAAGTTAATAATATTACTTTATTATACTTTCAATGTCCATGTGACCTGTAGTGATATCCCCTATTTCATTTCTTTCTTTCTTTCTTTCTTTCTTTTTTCTTTCTGAGGCAGAGTCTCGCTCTTTCATCCAGGCTGGAGTGCAGTGGCACCATCTTGGCTCATTGTAACCTCTACCTCCCTGGTTCAAGTGATTCTCCTGCCTCAGCCTCCTGAGTAGCTGTGATTACAGACGTACACCACCATGCCTGGCTAATTTTTGTATTTTTAGTAGAGATGGGGTTTCACCATGTTGGTCAGGCTGATCTTGAACTCCTGACCTCAGTTGATCCGCCCGCCTAGGCCTCCCAAAGTGCTGGGATTACAGGCGTGAGCCACTGCGCCTGGCCCCCTATTTCATTTCTGATATTAGTAATAAGAATCTTTGTTTTTCCTACCCTGGCTAGAAACATCAGTTTTATTAATCTTTTCAAAGCACTAGCCTGGCTAGAAACATCAATTTTATTAATCTTTTCAAAGCACTAATTTTTAATGTTACTGATTTTCTCTATTCATATCTTATATTTAGTTTCCTTGATTTCTGCTCTAATTTTTGTGTTGCTGTTGATGTTGAGTTTAACTATATTCTTACTGATTTTCTGCCTCCTGGATCTGTCAATTTCTGATAGAGGGGTTTTCTAATCTCCAGCTATAATAGTGGATTCATGTTGAAACTTAGTCATCAATGTAACAGTTAATAAGAGGTGGGCCTTTTGGGAAATGATTAAGTCATGAGGGCTTCACGCTCCAGAATGGGAATAATGTTTTTATAAAAGGGCTTGAGGGAGAAAGTTCATTTCTGTTTTGCCCTTTCCAGCATGTGAGGACATAGAAGGAGCCATCTATGAGGAACAGGTCTTCACTAGACACAGAATTTGCCAGCACCTTAATCTTGGACTTCCCAACTTCCAGAACTGTGTGAAATACATTTCTATTGTTATAAAGTGCCCAGTCTAATGTATTTTGTTAGAGTAACCCAAATAGACTGAGATAGTGATTTTTTTTCTCTCAATACTTTAAATATTTCACTCTGCTCTCTTCTTGCTTGCATGGTTTCTGAGGAGAAGTTGAATTTAATTCTTATTTTTGCTCCTCTATAATTAAATCTTTAATCTTTGATTTTCTGAAGTTCAAATATGATATGTTTAGGTGTAGTTTTTGTTTTGCATTTATTTTGCTGTTCTCTGAACTTCCTGGATCTGTAGTTTGGTGTCTGACACTAATTTAAGGAAATTCTCAGTTACTTCAAATATTGCTTCTGCTCCTTTCTCTCTTTTTCTCCTTTTTGTTATTCCCTTTACACATATGTGACATCCTTTTTGTCCCACAGTTCTTGGATATTCTGTTCTGTGGTTTTTTTTTTTTCAGTGTTTTCTTCTTTCTAGGTTTGGAAGTTTTTATTGTCATATCCTCAAGCTCAGAGATTCTTTCTTTGGTCATGTCAGTCTACTGATGAGCTCATCAGAGACACTCTTCATTTCTGTTACAGTGTTTTTGATCTCTAGAATTTCTGTTTGATTTTTTTCTTAGAATTTTCATTCTTTACTTTTATTATTCATCTGTCCCTGCATGTTGTCTCCTTTTCCCATTAAAGCCCTAACAAATTAATCACAGTTTCTTTTAGAATTCCTGTTCTGGTAATTCCAGCATTCCTGCCATGTCTGATTCTGGCTCTGATGGTTGTTCAGTCGTTCTCTTCAAACTGTGTTTTTAGCCTTTTAGTGTGCCTTGCACGTTTTTATTAATGTAGTGGGTAAAAGGAACTGCAGTACAAAGACTATAAAGACTACGACGAGTAATGTAGTGGTAAGGTGTGGGGGTAGGGGAATTGTTCTATAATTAGGTCTCAGTCTTTTAGTGAGCCTGTGCCTTTGAACTGTGAACTTGACCAATGCTTCTCAGTTGTTTTTTTTTTTTTGTTTTCACCCTTAGGTGCAATAGGACGGCTAGAGGGAACTGGAGCTGGATATTTCCCTTCTCTCAGGTAAATTAGGTTCTAGTAAAACCACAGCAGGCTAGGCTCTTGTTAGTTTCTCCTGAGGGCAGGCCTTGTTAAAGAACAGAATGCTGTGGTGTATTTCAAAATGATTTCATTTCTCCTTCCCCTGCCAAAAGTATGAGGGGTTTTTATTCTGATCTTTACCGTAAGGACCTGGTATAGCTCTCAGAGGTAAAACCTTAAGCGTCACCTCTCATTTGAATTTGGTCCTCCAGAAATTTTTAACTCTCAGAATTGTCCACATTGAGCTTCCAGCAATTCATCAGTTACATTTCAGGTTTTGTACCTGGTAGTGGTTCCTGATGAGGTTTCCACTCAGGGTTTCTCCTTCAGTAAGCTATTATTCTTTGTATCTACTTGTCTGTCTCTCCAATTTTGGGGGCAGTGGTTTGCTCAGTGACCTCACTTCTCTGACTAATCTAAAAAAATTAGGTTAGTCTAGATGTTGATTTTTTCTGTTTGTTCAGCATTTTACTTGTTGTTAGTGTGGAGTAATGACTTCTAAGCTCCCTGCAAACTGGACTGGAAACCAGAAGACCATTAGTAAATTTTGCCTGCAATAATTATTACTGTGGTATTTACTCATATTGATTCTTCCATTCTTCCATTCTTTCTACATTTATTAGTTGGTAGTATTCTGTAAAGAAGAGCTTTTTTTATTTATCTGCCACACATTTATCTATCAAATTATTTTTATATCAGTATGGATGCATAGATATTCATTTAATTCTAGAGGTTATAATCGGATACTATCAATATTTATTTTGATTTTAAAATTGTTTCAGCTTTGGCCATTGGGAGTTTTTTATGCTTGGTTCCTGCATCTAATAGACATTTTTAAATATAGGGTAGGGTTATATAATTAAGAGAGTTTTTGGTAAACACACACTGAAGCTGGTGTTTTTTCTGAAAATATCTGTTAGTTCTTAGAAGTCTGGTAACTCTGTTTTATTAGGATATGCACATGGGGAAAAAGAGACAAAGACTGGAGTTTGAATAAAATGCAGACTGAATAAATGATTACCCACAAGAAAGTTTCCTTAAGAAACAACATGCTCAGTGAAAGAATTAGGAGAAACTTTTGCAGAGTGAAATGGTGGAACTAATGCCAGTCTTGGTCTTGGATCTTAGTGCAGCAACAGAAAAAGTAAGAAAGTCTTCCTTGGGAATTCCTAACCAGAACCTACACTATTCTGATTTGGAATTCAAGTTCTTTTACAATGTATATGAAAGAACAAAAGGCAAAGAATAGACATGGCATTCCTGAAAAAGAATCAGTTGGAGAGATTTGCTTTGCCAGATAACAAGACATGTTACAAAATTATCTTATACAGCATAGTGTGGTTTGGTGGTGCAATAGACAAATAAATGAGTAGCATACAGACAAAAGATCAACATATTCATATATGGAAAATGGATGTGGACAGAGCTGATATTGAAGATCAGTAGCAAAAAGATTTGATAAAATGGTGTCAAAATAATTGGTTATCCACTGAGGTGAAAACTTGATAGCAGATTCCTAGCTCTCTCATACGCAGAAATCAATTACCATTGGGTTGAAACTTTAAAGGAAAAGGGAAAACTGTAAAATGTTCATAGATATGGAAAACTATGTTAAAGAGCTTGATATTGAAGAAGATTTTTTTAAACTCAAACATTGAAAATCATAAAGAAACCTGATTATATTTGATACACTAAAACCAAGATTTTAAGCTTATTTTCATCAAAAGACACCATGAAGTTATCTTAAGTCAGAAGAAATTACCTACAACACATATTACCAAAAATTATTAGAACTGAGAATATATAAAGAAGTCTAATATTTGATGATGAAAGACAAACAATCCAGTAAAAAGTGAGCAAAAACAAAGATACAAATGAGTACTTTACAGAAGAAGAAACATGATTGTCTAATAAATGTACTAAAAATGCTCAGTAAATATACTTAATATGCTCATTAGTAATCAAGAAAATGAAAATGAGAACCACAATGAGACAATACCATTTCAAACTCGATGAAATGAAAAATACAAATAATTCTAACAATACCCTTATCATCCTTTCATGCAGGAATTTGGGTCTTGACATAAAATAAAGCACAAAGTCCAGATTTGCTGCTTATCGGCAGTGTAATCTTCGACAAGTCATTTAAACTCTAGCTTCAGTTTGCTCACCTACCAAATGCAAAACATAATTTCTCTGCAGAGTTATGAGAAACAAAGATAATACACAGCAAGCATCTGACAAAGTTTGGCATAGAGCAAAGGGTCATTGATGATGGCTGCTCAAACTGACATAAATTGGGATGACAGTCCAGGAACATACTGTTCATACCAGTGTTTCACTCAATAGAACTAATTCAGAGGGAATGTATTAAGGTTTTAAATACCATTCTTCAAAACTTGTATCAACAATGACAGCAGTAGCAGCAGCAATGACTAATTGAGGGCTTATAATGTGCCAGGCAGTGAGTTTAGTCTTTTATATTCATTATTTCATTTAATCCTTATGATTACTTTGTAGTGCAGTATATATTATCTCTAGATATATTATTATCTCCATTATGGTTGAGGAAATTGAAAGTCAAAGAGCTTAATTTACTTGCCCAAAGTCACACATAGGGTCATTTGCAATTCTGGGAGTAGAACACATGCCTCTCTGGCTTGACCGTGATTCTCTAGTGTACCTAATTACTCTTTAGCAGACCGATCCAGAAACAGAACTTTTCTCTTGTAAGCAACCTTCACAATTAGTGGCATCAAGATTAATTTATGTGCATAATAGTGTGATGAACTGAAGCCAGTATTTTTTAAAAAGAGTAAGAATTTCAGAGTTTGCTGTTAGAATTTCCAGCCTGATCTTTGTCAGTGTTACTGTCTTTGACAGAAATGAAGGAAAGGAAAGAAGGGGAGTTGGAGTCGGGACCAGCTGACTGATACAGTCTTGCTCTATGTAATTTGAAGTTCCACCTTTCCATCTTGGGGGACTCCACACTCTAACTCCTTTCAGGAATAATTGAAATATCACTCAGAATGAAGCAGACTGCTAAAATTCATGGCATACCATATACAAAAAAAAAAAAAAAACACCACCACCAACAACAGCCAGACTCTTGCTTGCCCCTCTCAACTCCTTAAATCAGCCAGAGTCTTGACCCTTCATCCTCTATGTTAACAGTGGGCTTTCCAAAAACATAGACTTGGAATAAGTTGGGGTTTAATAGTCTTATGCTATAATACCCCAGCTAAGTGATTACTCAACTCATTTGGGTTTCAAGATTGAGAAACTCATTGTTTTTTGAGGTAGCTTCATCTGTCTTCAAAGAGCTCTAATTGTTAACAATAACAAAAACAACGACAATAGCTCATTTTTAAAATTGAGAGTTTATGATGTGCCAAATACTGTGCTAAGTGCTCTATATAAATTGTCTCATTTAATCCTCATAACCTCCGTGACATAGACGCTATTATTATCTCTGATTAACAGGTTAAAAACTCAGAGATTTAGATCTATTTGTCATAATTTTAGTATTTGCAGACTAAACAAATTCACTTGGCAACACTTAGGTATTAGAAAACAGCACAGAACTCTCCAACTTAAACCTCCACTCCTTTTGGCTAAATATCTCTATGCTTAATTGGTTCTCTACATTACATTTTTGTAGAAAATGTAGAATCAGGCCGGGTGCGGTGGCTCACGCCTGTATTCCCAGCACTCTGGGAGGCTGAGGCGGGTGGATCACGAGGTCAGGAGATCGAGACCATCCTGGCCAACATGGTGAAACCCTGTCTCTACTAAAACACACAAAAACGTCAACCAGGCATGGTGGCACAAGCCTGTAGTCCCAGCTACTTGGGAGGCTGAGGCAGGGGAATTGCTTGAACCTGGGAGGCGAAGGTTGCAGTGAGCTGAGATTGCGCTACTGCACTCCAGCCTGGTGACAGAGCAAGACTCTGTCTCAAAAGAAAAAAAAAAAAAAAAAAAAGAAAATGTAGAATCAGGAGGACATGATTGAAAGGGAGAAGGGAGGGAAGAGATTTAACATGACATTTTGGGGCCTCTCTGTGTTCCCTCTTTTGTAGTTTTTGTTGCCCCCACCTCTGACTTTTCTTTAATATGCAAGGCTGGATCTAAGCAAAGAAAAAGTATCTTTCTTTGTACTCTGCCACAAGTTTTCTAAACCAATATTTGCAGAAAGTGCACACAACCCAAGAATTTTGCACGATAAATTATTTTAGAAATGTTTAGAGGTAATGCAAATTCATAGCATATCATTCAAAAGAAAAAAGGGGCAAAAATAACTATCATGATTAACATCAATGCAGGATGGAGAAATTAACAAAGTCAATCAATGTTTGTTTTTCACTAATGGGTTTTTGGATGTCCTTATCAACAGCCTGAGTTTTTAAAAAGTGTTTTTCTATATTTTTACAGAAAAAATATGTATCCTTGCCATTATTTACTAGTTATTTGGAACATGTTCAAAAGGCCATCTTTTCATAAGGTCACCTGCTTTTCTTCAACTGCCTGCTGTCACTGGAACATTAAAATTAGTGTTTTTGTTATAAGATTATATGTTTAAAATTCTGTAATTTTAAATCCTTAAAAGAGAAGAGATGACTATAAACTTGAAGTTTTACTATATTTTAACCTTCATCTATTTTCTCAAAATTACAAATATAAGACTTCTACTACTTACCTAAATATTGGATGAGCTGTAGTCTTAAAGTCAGATATTTGACCTAAGCTATGGCAAATGACTCAATCTGTCTTTATTAATGTCAGTTTTAGATATCATACACCAAGACACAACATTTTTACAGTGCTTAGCATTCATACAGCTTTATGATATTTAGGGAACAGGAAAGCCACTTAGTGGTGGAATTATCATGTCTATCTTCCAGTGTGTAAATGTATGTTACAAAGATTAATGCTAGAACACACTAAACTGCCCTGAGAATGGTGAAATGCCTTGAATAAAGAGAAAGCCCTTCAGGCAGATGGCCAGTTTAAGAATAAAAATTAGCCAGCCTGTAGGCTTCATTTAATCTATTTGTAGGCATAAATGAGAACTTATTTTAACCAAAAAAATCTGCGATGTATTTTTAGAATCTTGCATGATGAATGAATGCATCTTAGACTTCTAAGTGAATAAGAACTAAGTTAAACTCTCAACACTACCATCATCTCTTCAGAACCACTTGTCTTGAGTCTACCTGTGAGAATATTCTCCTCCCTTGTGAGATACATAATAATCTCATTTAAAATCATAGAGTTCCCTGACACCAAAAAAGCTGACACAGTTTCTCCCCGCTTGCTGGTACAGTACTTCTTCTGAGTGATTACTTATCTACAGCAATGCTACTGTTTTATGTTACTAGATTTCTGAACACCTCAATTTATTTTTGGATCACTCTTTTCTTTTGGCAGATTGTGATTTATATATGCATTATTTCCAGTAGGATTAAATTTTGTAAGCCAAGAAAAAAAAAAGAAAGAAATAAGCTGCTGCTTGGCAAAAATGGAACAAGGTATCTTGATAATCATTTATAGCACAGACCCTAAATGTTATACTAATTCTTGTTCAAAAATGAATACTTTAATGTGTCTCGTCTTAGGCTAGCAGATCATTCATTTCTAAAGGAAATGGCTGTTTTTAAGGCAATTGATTGTCTTTGAGGTTTTTACTGTACACTCATCCAGAGAGCAGGTTTCAAATATCTCAAACTCAGAGTGTCAAAATAAAATAAAACAAAAGCAATTGTAATCACTGATCAGTTAAAACAACAGCAATCACTAAGGAGGGCCAAGAGCTTATAAGACTGCATGAGATGTTTTGAGAATGGCTTATGAGTGAACCAGAGGGCGGGTTATGCTCACATGGGGGAATTATGCTAATCTCTGTGGAGCAAATTCTGAGAAGGGAATGGGAAATTCTGAAGAAGTGGACAGAGGTATAAAAACAAGAAGAAGGACAGGTGCGGAGGATGATAAGAGCGGCAGGCAGCTGATATGGTAAAATAGGAGTAAACAGAAAGACACTGTCAGAGGCCAAGAGTGAGAGAGGTGAAGCTGAGAATGAGCTCTGAGGGAGAAAATTCTTAGTGTAGTGGTAGGCAACTGACACAATTTAGTGGGATCTTACCAATTTGTTGTTTTTCTTAAATCCTGAAAGGCATGTGTAATATAAAATAGCTTTGAAATCCAGTGTCAGTTAGTGCATTATTTTAAAAAGGCTAAAGATAAGAACATTTTAGAATACCTATTTTTATTATTTAATCTATTTCTCATGATAATAAATGTTATATGATATTAAATAAGAGTATTACAAAATGAAAAGGAGAAGAGACCAGATTTGTGGCAAATAGTGAATTCACCAAAGCTATTGAATTGAACTTGGTAAAATACATCTTTTTTTTTTTTTAACAGCTGGCTTTGGACTAAAATATTTCCCTAAATGATTTAGGACAAAATTTGACATGGGAAGGATCGCTCTTAGTGGTGAAAGGAAGCTCAGCCTTTACCCTTAAGCTTTTACAACATTTAGGGTAAGAGTTTGCTAAAAACATATTTTAAGAAATAATCTTATTGAATATATTCAACTGATATGAATACATATTCATATGTACATTTAGCAATTTTTTATTTTAGCAAGAATTGTTAAAAATATATTTAGTGATATTTTTGATTTCAGTGCATTTTCAAATTTTCGAAAACGAAAGACATGGAATGGTTTATTCTGTTGAGACATTAAACTACAGGATTCATTTACAACTAGAAGACAGGCTTTGATCCAGGTTGCAGATCCGATACTGTGGCCCTCAGCCTTCCATGGGCTCTTAGTTATTTACCAGCTGATGAGTTTGCCGAATGACCAGTTTGTCAAATTCATAAGCATATTTATTTACAAAAATTTGTTTATTTTAACTCTTTAGACAATTTATAGCAATCCTACTAGATGGACTTGCAGGGAGCCAGGACTCCAGAGATCTGGGGCCTTCCATTTCTCTCTGTTCTTCAGTCTTCCACTCTGTGGGATCCGCAGCTCAGATTGTGCTAGGCGCTCACTGTTGATTTTCCCTATTTTGGCTTCTTTAGTTTCAGAAGATAAAGCAGAGAGCTGTTGCAATTGTCTGATTAATATGAATTCTTGCAAATGATATTACTTGTTTAAAATATATTTCATTAAATAGATACATTTGATCACTCTGCAAAAACTGGGGAAAATTCTAAAAATAATAAAATATTAAAAACAGGAAATTACTTTTTGCCTTTGATCTTAGCCAAAGGGTCTAGAAGCAACAGAATATGACTTAAAATTTTAAAAATAAATCAGTATAAATTTTTAAACTTCCAAATTAAAATTTTAATTGTATTCATAGGAATAGTAATAGAATATATTAAAGAACAACAGTCATAACTACACACAGAAGAAGAACATGTTAATGAGAATAAATCATTCCGTGACTTTAGCTTTTGAAAATTCTCTAAAATTAAAAAAATTGCTAAACTTTTTAAAGCAATTTTTGCTAAAATAAAAAATTGCTAAATGTACATAGGAAAATGTACTATATCAGTTAGATATATTCAATAAGACTATCTCTTAAAATAAGTTTTTAGCAAACTTTAAAATTCATGAATTCTGCAAATTGGTCACATGGTAAATTGATTCTACTGAACTCATTCATTTCATAGATAAGACCACTTCAGCTTTCTTAAGATGATTCTGCACTTTAAAAAAACTGAAATAACTGGCAATATTTAAAAATCGAGGGTTCTGGTTCAAGATGGCAGACTAGAAGCAGCTAGAGCCTGTGGCTCCTGGAGAGAAAACAGTGGAGAGAAAACACTAAGCTCTTCAAATGCATCCTCCAGGAGGCCAAGTTGGAATTCACCAAGGAAGCAATACACAACAGGACCCAAAAGAGAGGAGCAAAGCAGGACAGCCACCCACCTGGGATTGGTGCAGAGCCAGAGGAATTGCCGTGTCGTGGGGGAAAGGGTGATTGAATAAGAGCTCCTGGGGGATCCACAATTCCACCACAGGCCTTTGTAGTCCTGGCCATGGAAGAGCCCCTCTGACTCTCCAGGGTCTCCAGACAGACACAGAGAGCTGCCTGGAATCTGTGCGGAGGCACCACTCAAGCCCATGTGAAGCCCAATGGATCTTGGATCCCAGAGCACCCTAGAGCCAGCTACAGTAGCCCCACCAACAGGGGAGGCTAGGCTCTTTCGCATGCCCTTAGGATAGCTGCAGCAGCCGCAGTGCTCAGGAGCAGACTACAGACCGCACCTCTGCTGCTGCTCGCCAGGCAAGTCCCACCGGCTTGGGCCTCCAGTGTGCACACCTGCCTGTGTTACTGGTCATAGGCAGTTGTCCAGGTTCTTGGTGTTTTGAACAAAGAATTAGAGAAAATGCACACACAAAGCAAGGCAGCAAAAGCAGAGATTTATTGTAAACGAAAGTGCACTTCACAGGGCAGGAGCCGGCTGGAGCAAGCGGCTCAAGAGCCTCAGTTACGGAATTTCTTGGGGCTTAAATACCCTTTAGACGTTTCCCTTTGGTTTACTATATGCAAATAAAGTTCCGTGACCAGTCTGATTGGTTGTGGGAGGGAACCACTCCAAGTGATGAGTAGGCCCATGACCAGTCTGATTGGTTGTGGCAGGGGACCAATCAGAGGTACTTTCATTTTTCGACTGCCACGCAGGAAAAGGAGGGGTTAAAAAGGGAGTAGCCTCTGACACTCAGCATGAATCCGCAGTAGGTTCCTTACCTCCAGACCCTATTCTTCTGCCTCACCTGAGCACTCTGGTTGGCTGCAGCTCTGAGTTTCTCTGGGACACAACGGACAGACCTACCGTGATTGCCAAGGCCATTGTGCCCCCCTCTGTTGCCCCCAGGTTGGGAGGGAACAAAGAGCCTGAGCTCTTTTGCATGACTCCATCAGAGAGGAGGCCAGGCTGCTTTCCCTGTGAGCCCCTGCCCTACGTTGCTCTGTTACAAGGCCCACTGGTTGGGGCTCCCAGCATAGCTGCCCCACCCGGCCTGACCACTCTGGCACGTTGTGGCGTGTGTGTGTGTGTGTGTGTGTGTGTGTGTGTGTGTTTGTTTTTGTTTTTGTGGTGGGGCTCCCAGAGGTAAGTGACAGGCCCTCTGCCATTGCTGCTGCCGTGGTCCTTACCCCTGCTGCCCCCAGGCTGGAGAGGGAACAGAAAGCCTAAGTACTTTCGTGCCTCTAGCTTGCCGCAACTGCCCTGCAGACAGACAGCCAGACTGCTTTTCGCTTGACTCCGTGCCCCTTCCCAAACGGATCTTGGGGTCTTATGGCTTCCAGTGCACCCACCCAGCCCCGGCCTGAGCATTTCAATGGTGGCTCAAAGTACTTCCGAAAATCGTACCCCACAGGCCTGTGATTTCCGTTGGGCTCCTACCACCTAAGCAACTCTGCTTGCCCTCACCTGAGAGTTCAGCCAGTGACCTGAGGCTGCCCCTCCCCATTACAGCCAGCACCTGAATCCTCGAAACCCAACTCCCCTAGACAGACCAATATCGAGTTCCAAAGTTGAATCAGTAATAAAAAACCTACCAACCAAAAAAAGACCTGGACCAGATGGATTCACACCCAAATTCTACCAAATATACAAAGAAGAGCTGGAGCAATACTACTAAAACTATTCCAAAAAAAATCAAGGAGGAGGGACTTCTCTCTAAGTTATTCTACAAAACCAGCATCATCCTGATACCAAAATCTGGCAAAGACACAATGAAAAAAGAAAACTACAGGCACAAAATCAACAAAATACTGGCAAACTGAATCCAGCAGCACATCAAAAAGTTAATTCACCATAATAAAGTAAGCTTCATTCCTGGGGTACAAGGTTGATTCAACATAGGTGGATCAATAAATGTGATTCATCACATAAACAGAATTAAACACAAAAACCATATTATCATCTAAATAGACACAGAAAAAGCTTCCAATAAAATCCAACATTCCCTTCATGACAAAAACCCTCAGCAAACTAGGCATTGAAGAAACATACCTCCAAATAATAAAAGCCATCTATGACAAACCTGGAGTCAACATCATACTTATGAGATCAGGTGCATTCAGGGTGGTATGGCTGTAGACCAGCCAGCAACCTACTAAATGGGCAAAAGCTGGAAGCATTCCCCTTAAGAAAAGGAAGAAACAAGTATGCCAGCTCTTATTCAACATCGTACTGCAAGTCCTAGCCGGCAAACTTAGGCAAAAGAAAGAAATAAAAAGCATACAAACAGAAAAAAAAGAAGTCAGATTATCTCTTTTCACAGACAATATGATTCTATGCTAGAAGACTACCAAAAGCTCCTAGAACTGATAAATGACTTCAGTAAAGTTTTGGGATACAAAATAAGTGTACAAAAATCAGTAGCATTCTTTTTCCTTTTTATTTATTTATTGATGTTTTTAGAGACAGGGTCTCACTAGGAGACAGAGTCTGAACTCTAGGATGGAGTGCAGTGGCATGATCATAGTTCATTCCAGCCTCGAACTCCTGGGCTTAAGCGATCTTCCTGCCTTAGCCTACTGAGTAGCTAGTACTACATGTGTGTGCCACCATGCCCAGCTAATTAAAAAAAAAAGTTTGTTTTTTCTTCAGAAACAGAGTCTTGCTGTGTTGCCCAGGCTAGTCTCAAACTCCTGGCCTTGAGTGATCCTCCCATTTCGGCTTCTTAAAATTCCGGGATTACAGACATGAGTCACCATGCCTAGCATTTTTATACACCAATAATGTTCAAGCTCAGAGTCAAATCAAGAATGCAGTCTCATTTACAATAACCACACATACAAAAATGAAATACCTAGGAACACAGCTAACTAAGGAGATGAAAGGAGAACTATAAAACACTACTGAGATAAATCATAGATGGCACAAATAAATGGAAAAACATGCCAGACTAATGGATTTGCAGAATTAATATCATTAAAATGGTCATATTGCCCAAAGCAATCTACAGATTCAACACTATTCCTATCAAACTACCAATGTCATTTTTCACAGCATTGGAAAAAATATTCTAAAATTCATATGAAACCAAGCAAGAGCCCATATAGCCAAAGTAATCCCTAAGCAAAAAGAACAAAGCTGGAGGCATCACATTACCTGACTTCAGACTATACCATAAGGCTACAGTAAGCAAAACAGCATAGTACTGGTACAAAAACACACACAGAGACCTACAGAACAGAACAGAGAATCCAGAAATAAAGCTGCACCCCTAACATCATCTGATCTTTGACAAAGTTAACAAAAATAAGGAATGGGGAAAGGACTTCATATTCAATAAATGATGCTAGGACAGCTGGCTAGCCATATGCAGAAGAATGAAACTGGACCACTACCTTTCACCATACACAAAAATTAACTCAAGATGGATTAAAGATTTAAATATAAAACCTCAAACTATAAAAATCTTGGAAGAAAACCTAGGATATACCTACCATTCTAGACATTGGCCTTGGCAAAGAGTTTATGGCAGTGTCCTCAAAACATAATAATTGACAAGGAGGGCCTAATTAAACTAAAGAGCTTCTGCACAGCAAAATAAACCATCAACAGTGTAAACAGGCAACCTACAAAATGGGAGAAAATATTTCCCAATTAAGCATCTGACAAGGTCTAATATCCAGAATTTATAAGGAACTTAAGCAAAAAACAAGCAAACCACAATAAAAAACCATTAAAAATTAGGCAAAGAACATGAACAGACACTTCTCAAAGGAAGACATACAAATGGCTAACAAATATAAAAAAATGCTCAACATAGCTAATAATCAGAGAGATGCAAATCAAAACCACAATGAGATGCCATTTCACATCAGTTGGAAAGGTTGTTACTAAAAAGTCAAAAAATAATAGATGCTTGTGAGGCTGCAGAGAAAAGAGAATGCTTATCCACTCTTGGTGGGAATGTAAATTAGTTCAGCCATTGTTGAAAGCAGTTTGGAGACTTCTCAAAGTGTTGCAGAATCAGGAGGACCAGAGAGAGACCTTGGGATGTATACAGGAGGATATCTTTATTATTGAGTGCACTCAGACCCAGCAGACTTGACGTCCAAAGACTGGGCCCAGAACAAAGACAGCACTTGACTTTTATACACACTTTACAAAAGGGGGTGGGCTAGCTTGAAGCAAGCTTACAGTGGCCTGAAAGCAGGGATACAGAGGCGGGACAAAGACAGTTAATCAAATTGTAACAGGTTCATAACTCAGGATTGCACATGACTGTTGCTATGCAACCCAGATGTCCATTATCTTGGTTTGCCTAGGCACGGGCTTATCCCATAACCTTCACTATGGCACCCAGGTAGCTGTAACTCAGGCCTGCTCAGAGGCTCATGACCTTCATTCTACTGCTTAAATAAAACAGAATACTTGAAGTCACTAGTTACAGAGAACAGGAATCTATAAACTCATTCCATAAAACAAAGGAAAATTTGTTTTTCTTCTCCCTAGGTTGAGGGAGTGCTGGGAGAGTCTCCAGAGCACATTAGATAGTATTATCAAGACTTTTCCTGGGTCTGGGCTGTGCCTGTTGCTGCCTCTGGGACAAGTCAGCCTAATACAGGAAAGTTTATTTCTCTTTCTTTTTAATTTTGTTTTTCTTTAATTTCCCGCCTCAAAAGAACTTAAAACAGAGCCACCATTCAAGTCAGCAATCCCACTTCTTGGTGTATACCCAAAGGAAAACAAACCATTCCACCAAAAAGACACATACACTTGTATGTTCATTATAGCACTATCCACAATAGTAAAGACATGGACTTAACCTTGGTGTCCAACACCAGTGGACTGGATAAAGAAAATGTGGTACATATACATCATGGATTACTACACAGCCATATAAAGAATGAAACCATGTTCTTTACAGCAACATGGATGCTGCTGGAGGCCATTATCCTAAGTGTAAATTAACATAGGAATAGAAAACCAAGTACTGCATGTTCTCACTTATAAGTAGGAGCTAAACTTTGGGTACTTATGGACATAAAGATGGAAACAATAAACATTGGGTACTGCTAAAGTGGGGAGAGAGGGAGGGGCGTAAGGGTGGATAAACTACCAACTGGGTACTATGCTCACTACCTGGGTAACAGGGCCATTTGCATCCCAAACCTCAGTGTCATGTAATATACTCATGTAATAAACCCGCACATGTATCCCATGAATCTAAAATGAAAGTTGAAAATATTTTAAAAAGTAAATAAATTTATTGGAATGCTCTGAAGTTATATTAATACTATCTCTTGAAGATTCAAAAAATCTGCAAAGTTGAACCTACATTCCCATAGAGCAACATTAGTTGGACTTGAGTGATGGCCACTCTCTTTGGAAGGGCCAGTGGTAGGGTGATGATATGGCCGGTGTGCTTGTGAAAGTCCTGGTTTGTACCTGTTTTCCTGGCGTAATTCTTAATAGTGTCCACTTTCACTATCACAGGTATCTAGTTTGAAAGATTAATTTTATGGTCACTTTAGTGAGTGGTCTCCAGCTCACTGTAGTTCGCAGAACATATTTTATCTTTTAATTGGTCTGATACACACATCATCTGCCTGGGCTTTATAAGCATTTGAATGTGTTATTCCTGTTTTTGTATCCCTTATCTAGCCCATGCATGTAGAAATACACAGAAAATTCTTTTTTCTTTTTTCTCTTTTTTTTTTTTTTTTGAGACAGAGTTTCACTCTCATCGCCCAGGCTGGACTGCAATGGCACGATCTCCACTCACCGCAAGCCCCGCCTCCTGGGTTCAAGTGATTCTCCAGCCTCAGCCTCCCAAGTAGCTGGGATTACAGGTGTCTGCCAGCATGCCTGGCTAATTTTTGTATTTTTAGTAGAGACGGGGTTGCACCATGTTGGCCAGGCTGCTCTCGAACTCTTGGCCTCAGGTGATCTGCCCACCTTGGCCTCCCAAAGTGCTGGGATTACAGGCGTGAGCCACTGCAGCCAGCAGAAAATTCTTTATCAATGATGCATTAAAGAGACTTTGTTGCATTTTTTCTTTAGTTTTACCTTCTGTTAGCTGCTTCTTACACAATGTGGTTTTAAATAAAGACCCTGTGCAATGTTATATGGTTTTTTGCCTATGTATTTTCAATTTAGAAGTCATCATGCTATCCCATAATCTTCACTACTATGAGCACAGTTCTCATATTTATCTTTCAATCAGGGTTCTAAAAAGAATTTTATGTAATATCTTATTGATATAGCTGAATGGTTATCAACCACATAGTACCACAGACTCAAAAACCTGCTAATTTAATTCACAACCCCCTAACTGGTGCTTGGCATATTTTAGACCTTGTGCTAGTCATGGAGCACAAAGAGATAAAAGACACCATGATACCTGTATTGTCAAAAGTCATTAGCAGTCTTCACAAAACAGTCTTGGCTTTTCTTTGATTTTATGTCTTTGAATATTTTCTTCTCATGAAGGTAGTCCCAAATGGGGTGTGTGTGTGTGTGTGTGTGTGTGTGTGTGTAAGTATGAGTGCTGGAGGAGGAAAGGCAGATTTGAGTGATGACATTCATTCTATGTCAACACAGATTTTTTGTATGCATTGAAACAGAAAGATGTTAAAAAGCTTTGCAACTTTCTATTTCAGTTAAAGCTTCACAAGGTGGCTTGTTCTTGGTAACGGGGGTTAGAGCTATCTTAACTTAATTTGTGGTCTGAAAATGTGATTTTATCAATTTAACCAGTGCCAGCCATCTCCGCAATGTGACTAGCATCCCTGCAGAGCCTAAACCATAATAAAATATCTCCATTTTTGTTCAATTTCTATAATTTATGTATTCTTACACTTTCTTCTGGTAGAATGTTACTGAAAGCATATTGACCTGTAAAATAAAAGAATCTGTCCATTGTAAACCTGATATCTTCCCTCCAACCACAGGGAGTAGCATTTCCTCCAGCCTCTCTTGTTGAGAGTTTGGGCTTTTTAAATGAGGCTGTTCTGGGAATCATTCTGGCCTATTTACTAGAAATCCCTTCATGGGTGATGATGGTTAGGCTCAGAAAACCTAAGACATTCTAATTTCCAGGGACTGGTTATATATACCTTTATCTTGGATAAGATATGGGCTGATGCATTTCCTTTGGAATTATGGTTTTAGGATCTCCTAAGTCACATAATAATGGCATTTTTTTCATATGTGGTAGGTGCCTCTCAATCCAAGAAACATGACTGCGTAGCATGCTACAGGAAATAACCTTGATGTGTTGTCTTTACCAATGAATTTTGACATAAAATACTTGTAAGAGGCCTGAATCAAACTACTCAAATCTCCAATAGATTGATTGATAAACATAAATGCTGTAAGCCAGGTGCAGTGTCTCACATCTGCAATCCCAGCACTTTGTGAGGCCAATGCCAGGAATCACCCGAGGTCAGGAGTTTGAGACCAGCCTGGCCAACACGGTGAAACCCCATCTAGACTAAAAATACAAAAATTAGCTGGGTGTGGTGGTGTGTGCCTATAGACCCAGCTACTCAGGAGGCTGAGGGAGGAGAATTGCTTGAACCTGAGAGGTGGAGGTTACAGTGAGCGCTGAGACTGTGCCACTGTACTCCAGCCTGGGCAGCAGAACAAGACTGTCTCAAAAAAAAAAAAAAGCTGTATATATTGCTTTATATATGTTGATTTACATTAGAAATCTAGCTGCTAAGATACACTACGATATTTATGTTCACAGTTCATAGCATCCTTTCTCTTGGGGGGAATGACCTTATACTGTATATTGAAGGCTATAATTGCTAAAGAAACCAAGATGAAAAATACTTGTACCTGACAGTAATTGTATTGCATCTCTATAGAAACTGCACACCAGCATAACCAAGAATTACCAGGAATTTTCTCAAGAAGCATTATCAGGTCAGTCATCAAATGATATTAAGCAGATATGCCTATTTCACTGCAGATATACCTAATTCAGTATACATGACAAGGGCAGTGGAATAGTCTGTGCCAATTTCACAGGGCAAATATTGACAAATTCCAAATTTTTAAGTTCTTGTTGTTTGTTTTGGGACCCACGAAAAATTTATGTCATTACTTTGGCTCCAACAGGCTTGATACAATTATGTTATAGCCAATGGTATGCTGGTAACCTGGCTCTCCTAAAAGTAAAAAAAAGCCTGGATTTGTAACATTTGCAATTTCAACAGTGTAGCTTCTCCCAGCATTGCTAATTTCTCCTACAGTTTAGCAACTAGCTCGCTCCGAATTCCTGAATATTTAACAATTTGATCTTTAGAGTCTGTATAAGCACACCACTAGCATTCTTTTACTAGCTGAAATCTAGTTCTGAAATTGTGTCTAGCCTTCTATTGATCTTTCAATTGGATTCAAGATGTATCAATACACCACCTCTTAATGGAGGCTATTTTGCAGATGGCTGTTACCTGCTAATGCTGAACTTACTAGCTTCATTTGTAGCTAGTGACCTTTATTAAAACCTGTTTATTTAAATGTGAAACAGAAGGACACTTACTATCATCTCTTACATTCTCTCTCATTCATACTGCGAGGAAACATGTGTGGTCAGAAAGTGAGCCACAGAGACATTTCAGTGGAGTAAATAAAAAGTAGGAAGAAGTAATGTGTGAGTACCTTAGATAAAACACATTGCAGAAATAGTAGAGGGGGAAATATGCAAAAAAGAGAGTGATAAAGACCTTTTAAAAACTGTTCAAAGTGGATCTTCACACAGATAAAAAGATGTTGTGGCATTTTGGTTGTTTGACTGCAAAGTGAGAGCAATTGAGATGAACTCTGCTTTCCATATCTATTTAACTGAGTTCAGGCAACTCCTGGGAACATCTTACAAACATGGAATTCATGTAAACCTCACAATGTCAATTTTTTTTTTTTTTTTTTGAGATGGAGTTTCGCTCTCGTTGCCCAGGCTGGAGTGCAATGGCGCGATCTCGGCTCACCACAACCTCTACCTCCTGGGTTCAAGCGATTCTCCTACCTCAACCTCCTGACTAGCTGGGATTACAGGCATGTACCACCATGCCAGGCTAATTTTTTGTGTTTTCAGTAGAGACAGGGTTTCTTCATGTTGGTCAGGCTGGTCTCAAACTCCCGACCTCAGGTGATCCACCTGCCTCGGCCTCCCAAAGTGCTGGGATAACAGGCTTGACACAGTGTCAATTTTATGAAGCCATTTTATTATACACTCAAACTCTTGCTTCCAATGTCAAAGATAGTATTATTTAAAAATGTTCTAGACAGTAGTCACCTGCAACCTAGGCACCCCATCTCGATTCCTGCAGATTTATCCTTAGAAGTTGTGCTTGGAGTAAATCTAGAAACCAGCCACATTTTCCTGCTAGATTCCTGGGGCGGTAAAGTGGATGAGGAAGAAATAACAGGCACCTCTACATTAGGAAATAAGGAAAATTATTTGAGAGAGCTCATGGAACAGAAGAGGAGTCTTGTGAGCTAATCCAGGAAGGAAAAAAGCCTGGGTTGTCACAGGCAAGAAGGAATTCTGAGTGTAGCATTGAGGCTGTTGCACAACTCTTGCAATTCTTTGCCACAGTCTAAGTTCTGGGATGCAAATATTAGGGGAAGCTTCACTAGGTTTTTAAAAAATACATTGGAGTCCAAGAAAAAAATACTCTGGGACATCTCTAGCAAACTTGGTGTTATTTAACTGATGCCATCTGCTCCAGAAATGGGTTTCTAGGATCTTTTTCACGTGATTGGATTTCCTCTCCAGTGCTCAAGAGATAGTTATAGAAATGTGTCATTACAATGTGGACAAGAACATCCCCGAGAGCAAGAGGTCAAGCGCATTTCTATTACTTTATGCAAGTTTTTCCATCATCATCAGTGACCTCATGGCTGGAAAGTTTGAATTTTGTTAAGAGCTATGAACATGGAATAGCTTTAATTAAAGAGAAAGATAGTCAATAATTGCTGGTTTGACGTTGATAGACAATAATTTGGATAAAATCATATTCCATGAGAGAAATGGAGAGTTCTGTTATGCTATTACCAGAATTTGAGAATAAAATTAATTTGACTTGATATAAATCCTCACAAAAGTTAAAACAAACATACCGGGCAGCCTCTGAATACCTCTCCAGACATCTAAACACTGTTGCTTGACGAAGATGATTCCGGAAATAGGCTGGGTTTAAAACAATGCTCCTGTAAAAAGGTAAAAGAAATGCAAATGTTATTTGGGTTTTAAAAGACAATTACCACAAGTGCAATGGAATGAAATCACAGGCATTCAATTTTATATACTATGTGTTTTTAAAGATACTAGTGAAAGGAGCCCTTCCCCGCCCCCCGTAATTGGCAATTAAGACAAATAAACAAGCATTATTGAAAAACTAATTAAGTTTGCATTATCAAAGAAATTTTATTTATGGGACTGGATATTTTTACAGATATGACAATGGCAAAGAATTTGAATTCAACTTATGTTACATATAAGACATGGTGCTATTTTATTTGTTTTTAAATGAATTTTTATTTCAATAAATCAGGGAAAAAGCAGGTTATTTATGGTATGTCTACTTTTAATGAAGAAAGAGATTGTTAGTTGCTGAATTTCAGTTAAAAAAAAAAAAAGGAACTGGAGGCTGGGTGCGGTGGCTCATGCCTGTAATCCCAGCACTTTGGGAGGCCGAAGTGGGTAGATCACCTGAGGTCATGAGTTCAAGAACAGCCTGGCCAACATGGTGAAACCCTGTCTCTACTAAAAAATACAAAAATTAGCCAGGCATGGTGGCAGGCGCCTGTAATCTCAGCTACTCGGGAGGCTGAAGCAGGAGAATTGCTTGAACCCGGGAGGCAGAGGTTGCAGTGAGATCGCGCCACTGCACTCCAGCCTGGGGGACAAGAGCGAGACTTCGTCTCAGAAAAAAAAAAAAAAGAGGAACTGGAATTTGGGTGACATGTTCATTTGAATTCCATAATTAGGTTCTGTGTTTTCTCCCAGCTGGGTGTAAGAGAAGACCTGTACTGTTGGTTAAGGGATCTAGTCTTGGTCTTGACCCTTTTGTTAAGGCCTTTCCTCACTTTGGACCTCTGTTTTTTCTTGACTGAAATGACAAGGCTTGACTTGTGGATAAGATGAACTAACTGTCCTTACCTGCTGACTCTTCCATTATCTCACAGAGTTCTGGAATCTCAATCCAAACCTAGATGTGAAATGATCTCCCTAGCTGCCTTCTTCTCCTAGAGATAAAGGGGTAGACCTTTCTCTTCCTTGCTTCATTGAGAGCCTATTATGGGTAGGTATTGCTCAAGGTGTTTGATATAACAGGGTCAACTAGCTGGATGCAGTCCATGCCCTATCACCAAATGGGGACCCAGCCATTAGTGAAAGTTCGAAATGTAGCTTCTACTGTATTTATCAATGTGGGCTACAGAATGTTACAGAACCAACGCATGATTATTAAGCAACATTTTGTGAGCCTATTTTTACAAGTTGATGGGAATCACTTGGAATTAGTTCATTATTAAAGTAAGTGGTTCTTAACCTTTTTTTGAGAGGTATACAGTGCTTTCGGGAACCAGATAAAAAGTCTGAACCTCTGTCCAGAAAAATGCACATAATCATAATTGCACAAATTTAGGAAACTTGTGTGACCTCTCAGGGCTCTTCAGGTATTCCACATTAAAAACATGCAGACGAAAATAATTCAATTCCCAGAAACACTGCATATAAAAAGAATAAAGTAGAAAAAAATCTGTCTGGCCTGTGGATAATCATAGAATCGTATGATGATGAGATGGATCGACTGTATAACTTAGCTCACTTCAAACACAAATCAGCAGAAAGTAGAGGAAGACGGAACTTTCTAAAATCATGCATAACTAGTTAAAGAGCTGTCTAAAGTTTTTTGGTTCTCCATGTCTAGCCACAGAGCATTGTATTATATCACACTGCCTTTCCTATGGTGATTTCTGAATTAGACGGGTCTGAGTTAATGAGGTTTTACTGTACTCTATGACAAGGATTTTTGCAAATGAATACATTAATCCCTCAAGAACACAGATCGTTTGCTTTGGTGTGTTTTGATTAAAATGTTGGAAATGTTAAAATGATCACATGGGTTCATTTAATATCAAGACAAAACTATAATACTAATATTTACCATGAATATTTTTTATTACTTCAGAAAAAGAGAATGTTTGAAAATCATGTTTATATATTTTGTCCCTATAGAAGCAATTTTGTAAAGGTAAGTCAGAGTAGCTGAGGGCAGAGCTTTGTCCAGGGACTGGGTTTTCTGATTCTGACAACTTTCTTCCACAGGATAGGTAATTCTTCCCTATTACTTTTTATTTATTTATTTATTTATTTATTTATTTATTTATTTATTTATTTCATCCACAAGTCTATGAGGTGTACTCCCTATTACTTTATTCACTTATTCACTCATGCATGTTTAGTTAGCATCTACAAATTTGATGGGACAAAATCCTTACTGAATGGATGTTTCCAGCCTTTGGCATCTTTTTGCCTATGATGTAATGTTTTTGCTTTGCCGAGCTATTCTCCAAGAATCTTGCTCTGTCAGACAAGTTCTTCTGACAAAAGTAGATTAGATTGGAGACAAGGATGAGGTGTGCTGGGAAGGAGGGGTAGTGAAGAAAGAGCTTATCAAAAGAGAGAGAGGAGAGAGAAGAGAAGGCATCAGAGTTGCTTTGGATGTAGGCAGAGAAGATTTTTGTGAGTAGTGAGGGCTGGTGAGGTTGACACTATCGGAACCATTACAGTGTGATTTATAAAAAGATAGGAATTAAAAAAAAATTACTTGTAATTATAATTCCTCTGTATGGTGTTGAAGAAATGCAAGTAGAGGACATGAGTTTAGAAATCACTATTGCTAGACGGACTAGGTTCTTTTAATCATAACACCACTCTGCCCTAAACCATATGATTCCCGGCTTCATAAGAGGGACCGAAGGAAGACACAGACCCAGTCTCTACTCTGAAAGTGTAATTATAAAAGAATATTTGGTAATTTGAGATGAAATATTTTATTTGGCAATTTATTATTTTTGACTTTTATAATTATTGCAGCATTCACTGTGTGCTTATCTTACGCCCCTGTTAGATATTTGGCAAGGAAATGCTAGTGGCAGTTGTAAAGCCTAGCTTTTATACTTTTATTAATTTATCGATGCTTTCTAAAATGACATACCCTTTTAAAGATATATTTTATGTCGTGTGCAACTTGTAGGGGAAATGATGATCTGTCTTTTGAAAAGTTCTTAATCATTTGTCATTTGATGCCATTTGGAAAGCTGCAGGAGGCAGCCTGTGACCAAAATGGACAATCTCACTGCAGTTACAGTGAAAAAAAAAAAAACTACAATTGTAATCAGAGAGCAATCTCAGAGCTGATTGGTCTGATTTTATCACAGAGGAAAAAACTCTGATTTAGCTATGCTGATAGGGCTTTTGGTAAAAAACAAGAACCATGTTAGAGACTAGCTAAATGATAGACGTCATTGAATTTTTGTCAGAAGAAAAGGAGTTAGTAATGGGCAATGATTGCCTACTCCATTGATTCACCCCTTTCTAAAACAATGGGATCCTGTAAAATAATATATATTATAGTAAATGAAAGTTTATTTTTAAAACAAATTTGTTACCTGTGGTAAATCTTGTGCTTTTTATGATTTCTATTTGTGGATACTTTAAAATTTATCTTTTTTATTAAAGTTCACATGATTTGATGCTTGTGTATGTGTGTGTGTGTGTGTGTGTGTGTGTGTGTGTGTGCTTATTTTATTAAGCCCTAAATTTGTACACTGATGAGGCTCGAATATAAGTCTATTTTGGTAATTATCTCAGGTTTCCCAATTCGCTTGATAAATAATCCATCCTTCTCTCGTGATTTGATATGCCACGTTTATTATACACTAAGTTCATATGCACACTTGGGTCTATGGCTGGGCTTTGTAGCCCATGCTTTTGATCTGCCTAATTCTGTGACAGAAAATGCTCTAATTATCTTTATTTTATAATAGATTTTAATTTCCAGAAGGGAAACAACTGCCTAATGTCCTCTATGTGAATATATTTGTTAGTTAATATGGCATATTTATTCTTCCTGTTGAACTTTATCATTTTTGTTTCTTCCAGCTACAAAAAGATCATTTGGTGATTTTTATTGGTATTAAACTAAAGACATTAGATTAAAATTTAGGAAGAATAGACATTTTTATATTATTGTCTTCCCATACAGGAATGTGGCATTTCTCTTCTTTATTCAAATATTCTTTTGTGTCTCCCAGTAATATTTTAAAGTTTTTTTAAATAGAAGTTTTACTAATTACTTGTAATATTTTAACTTTTTTAAAAAAACAGAAATTTTACTAATTTCTTGTTAATTCTTAAGTTTGAAAACTCTGCATGAGAATATATGTCAATATGTCTATATTCACATATCTATGTATATGCACACACATATTTGCATATATATTCTCATGTAGAATTTTAAAGCTTAAGAATTATATAAAATGTATAGAATAAATATATATAAATATATTACTATGAATATAATCAGCATCAGGACCTGGGAGCTTGCTAAAAATGTGAAATCTTGATTCCCACCTCAAACCTACTGAATCACATTTTAACGAGATTCTTAGTTGATCTGTATGCACATTAAGGTTTGAGAAACACTACATGTATGCACAATAGGTATGGGATTTTTTTCTATTATATTTTCCAAACTCTTATTGATAGCATAGCATTTAAACATGTATTTTTAAAAATATTTATTTTGTACCCTTATAACTTAATATCGCAATAATTTAATTTTATTTACATCATCTGCAAATAATGATGTTTGGTTACTACTTTTCAGTATTTATAACTATTTTTTTCTCTTACTACATAGGCTAAATTTTTTAGAAAAAGAATTTAGATAAGTAGGGTGATCTAAGAGTGTTTCAATATTTCATTGATAATTATTATTATTGATCAATTTAAGAAAAAAAGAAGTATCATTCTATGTGTTATTTTCCAAGAGTTACCAGAAGTAAATAATTTTTAAAAATATTCTTTGAATCTATCAAAATGATCTTGTGGACTTTCCTTTGATCTTTTGTATTGATGAATTAGGTTAATTAATGATTCAAGAAAGGTATCAAAATTAATACAGAATATTAAAGCCAAGGATTGAGAAAGTGAATAATAAAATAAAACTACATCCAGGATGAGAAATGAACAAATAAAAAAATTCATTTAAAAAATAATGCTATGATTTTTATGAAATCGTATACTAAAATTAAGTTGCTAGAGGTTTTATATTTTGTCTTTTCAATCAAACTGATATTAGGTTTAGCTATTAATTCTACTGTTTTATTTTTGATTTATTCATTTGTTTTTATACTTATTAATCAATATTTGTCCTCTCTGAAATTTATTTTTATTATTTCTCTTATTCTTGACATATAGAAAATTTATGTTTTCTTTTTAAAGAAAGCATTTAGAGGTTTGAATTTTTACAATAATTTTAGCTTTGACCATATCCTTAAGAATGATAGAGTATATTTTATTCTCATTATAGTTTTTTCTCCCAGTCTCTAATTATAGATTTTAATTCCTCTTTAAAGAATTATTTAGGACAGCATTGTTCAATTTCAAAAGGGTATTTTTTTCTTATAACTTTTACTGTTAATTTCCCATTTTATTACAATGTAAATAGAGAATATCTTGGACAATTTCTTCTTCTGCTATATATGAAAATTAATAAATGGTTCAGTGTTGAAAATATTTTAATGGAATGTAGAAGAAATAATATATTTATTTCTAAGGTATTGTTAGTCTGAAACCACTGGAGATAACATTAAATTTTTAATGATTTAAATAAAACTTCTAGACACCTTTTACTTCATTCAAATTCCTTGGGAAATCTTTTGAAAAGTAAATTTTAATGGTGATTATTACCATTTTAAACCCAGCTTGTTTTTAAAGGCAATATTCTCATTGTTTATATTCATGTTCTATAATACTTTTCAGAAAGTTAAATTTTTTCTAACATGTTTTTATTTAAGTCAGTTTTATTGAGTTATAATTTATATACAGTAGTATTCACTTTTTAAAAGTATATAGTTTGGTCTGTTTCGACAAATACATAGCCATCAACACAATAGAGATACAGAAATTTACAACCGTACTAAACAGTTCTCTCATTTTCCTTTTTAATCAATTTTCTTCCCTTATGCCCAGTTTCTGGCAACCACTGATCTATTTTCCAAATTTATAGTTTTACCTTCTCTAGAATATCACTTAAATGGAATAATATAGTATATACCCTATGCGTACGGCTTCTTTCACTTAGAATAATGGTTTTGAGATTCATCCATATTATTGTATGTATCAATAGTTTGCTTCCTTTTACTGCTTAACTATTAGCAGTTTCCACAATTTGTTTATTCATTCACCAACTGATGAACACTCTGTTGTTTCTGTTGCTGTAAACATTCATATACAAATCTTTTGATATAAGCTTTCATTTCTTATGGTAAAATACAGGGGAGTGAGAATACTGGGTCCTATTCTAAGCATATGCTCAACTTTGTGAGAAACTCCTAAACGTCTTTCCAAAGCAGTTGTACTATCCTGCATTCTCTCCAGCAATGCATGAAAGTTCCAGTTGCTTTGCATCGTCGCCAGAACTGGTATGATCAGCATGTATGCGTGTGTTGTGTTTAAAGTTTTAGCGACTGTGATAGGTGTAGATGGTATCTCATTGTGGCTTTAGTTTGCATTTCCCTAGTAACTAAAGATGTTGAGGATCTTTTCATGTGATTATTGGCCATTTGTGTATATTCTTTTGTGAAGTTCTTGTTAATCTTTTGCCATTTTAAAAAACTGGGCATTTTTTTTCCTTATTAGTGTGTTGTAAGGGTTCTTTATGTACTCTGGATACAAATTCTTTGTAAGATACATATACTGCACATATTTTTCTCTGAGTCTGTGGCTTGTCTTTTAATATTCTCAATAGTTTCTTTTGAAGAGCAGAAGATTTTTGATGATGTCCAACTTATCGACTGTTTTTCTTTTATAGTTTATACCTTTAAAATATACTATTTAAGAAAACTTTGCTTAATCCAAGGTGACAAAGAATTTCTTTCATATTTTCTTCAAAAAGTTTGATAGTTTTAACAGTTATAAACTATTGGAGTTGAATTTGTTTATGGTGTGAGGTAAAGATAAAGACATTTTATTTTGCTTATAAATCTGCAATTTTCCCGGCACTACTCATTGTAAAGACTATTCTTTCTCTATTGAATAACCTTGACATGATTATCAAAAATCAATTAACCATATCTGTGTGAGTCAATTTCGGAATGGAATATTCTGTTCTGGTGATTTATTTGTCTATCTTATGCCATTATAACAGTTTTGACTACTATAGATTTATAATAAATCTTTAAATCAGGTAGTTTAAGTCCTCCCAACTTTGTTCTTTTTTTTCCCCTCTAACATTGTTTGGACTTATTGAAATTCTGTACTTTTCTGTTTACATTTTAGAAAGTAGCCTGTTAATTGCTAAAATGTCTGCTGGGATTTTGATAAGTGTATAGAAAACTTTAAGATCTATTGACATCTTAATAATATTGAGTCATCTGATCAATAAATATAGCACTTTTCTCCATAATTAAGGCTTTATTTAATTTCTTTCATCAATGTTTTGTAGTTTTCAGCATGAAAATCTCACACAAACTTCATTAGATTTATTCCAAACATTTGATATTTTTTGTTGCTCTTATAATTGGCAATGATTTTTAAATTTCAATTCTTATTGTTCATTGCTAATTTATAGAAACATAATTGATTTTTTACGTTGACCTTGTATTCTGCTACATCATACTACTAAGCTTAATTATTAGTTCCAAAAGCTTTTCCAAAAATACTTTGGGATTTTCTAAATAGATGATTACATCTTCTGCAACTAAAGATGACTTATTTATTTCTTTCCAGCCTATAACATTTGTTTATTTTCTTTGCCCTATTGTACTGTTTATCACCTCCAGTACCATTTGTTGTTGTTGCTGTTGTTTTGTTTTGTTTTACTTCCCTCAGAATTCTCTAAGCTTCTCAGACTTGAATTTTACTGTTTTCCCTTTAATTTTGGAAAATTCTTGCTTTTTTTCTCTGTCCCATTCCTCTCTCTCCTTTTCCTCCTCATTCTGGGACTCTTCCTTATAGCAGCCAACCCCTGCATTGAATATGTGGTTGGTCTCATTTTAGAGAGTGTTTTCTGCTTCTTGTCTAGTGGTAGCAGAACTCCTCTTGGTATCTTCCCCGGGCCCAAGAGAGGTTTCTATCTCTCTTTATCTCTTCCCCAAAGCAGAGGGTTTATGCTTTACCCTTCCTTCAGTGGCTATGGGAACAGGATAATTTCTGACTTCTTCCCCAGAGACATATGTTTTGCTTCTACTTCTCAATCAGAAGCTATGGATTTTTGCCTGGATGCTGAGAATGTGAATATCTGCTATCACTACCCCAGGTACTTTAGACTTTAGCTTTATATGAGACTAGGGATTAGGGAACAAATTTATTTTTTCTCCCTCCCTCCCTCCCTCCCTCCCTCCCTCCCTCCCTCCCTTCCTTCTTTCCTTCCTTCCTTCCTTCCTTCCTTCCTTCCTTCCTTCCTTCCTTCCTTCCTTTCTCTCTCTCTCTTTCTTTCTTTCAATTTCTTTTTTAGGCAAAGATGCCCATCTAGTTACCATTGTCTTGGCTGTTAGCAAAGTAGTGATTGTTTCATCCTCCCGAGGCAACACTCCTCTTATTCTTTTAATAACTTGCTGATGTTCTTAAAATAGAAATAGGTGGTAGATCTAGAGAAAGCTAGGAACATGGAATGTTTTAATTTCAGCGAATCATGATAACTTTATGGATAAGATGATGACATTTATGCTGGATAATAGCATCATTTCGTAGATTATAACCAATTGAATAACTGATTAATGCTATGTAAGTATGATCTGTGTTATTATGAAATAAGGAATCTAATGAAATGTCTTTAGCCCTTTTTGTGGACCTTATTTTCATTAGTGAACTAAGATTAAGAAATTGAAAGGATGTCGATAAAATTTTCAGACGGCATAAATTTTACTGCAACAGGAACTTATATCACTGATGACGTAAGCAAAATTTAAAATAATATGGACTGTTTAAAAATAAAAAATCTTAGTTATAAACAATCATTTTATAAAGATAATCATGGCTTGAGTTTGATCATATGGAAAAAATCTGAATATTTTAACTGCAAGCTAAATGATATGATAATATAATAGAGCTACAAAAATTGCACATAAAATTTTGTGCTAAATCAATATAACACATTGTTTTCAAATAACAAGTGATGTTTTCACTGAATTGTGCCTTCACCATATAGTCCCTTGAATTCATCTATAGTTCTGAGCATCTGTGAAGATCATCACCATATCGGAAGCTGTCTAGAATGAGTGATCTGGAAAACATAGTGTGTGAAGAATATGGAATGAAATAAATATGTTTAGAGAGTAAAATAATATCAGCCTCAGTAAATATATTCAAATACAATGCCCTTCCATATGGAATATAGAATAATTATTCTATGTAATATCAGATGAGGCCAGGCAAAAACCAGTTATAAAGCTACAAATAGCTCAGTTCAACATAAGGGGGGACTTACTAACCAATGATGCAACAGGCTTTCAGGAGAATTTCCTTTTACTGGAAACATTTAAATGATATTTAGAATGCCATCTGTCAGGACATGTAGAATAAATTCCTCACTGAGTGGGAGATAAGGCTAAATGACTTTCAAGTATATTCACGAAAATTTCTTATAATGCATTATCCAGCACTGTGAAGAGTCTGAGTTTTTTTTCCCTACTTGCAAACTAACAAGTTAGCTTGAAGCAGTTTTATGGAAGCTGGTAGAAGGTATGAGCCTCCAGGGTCAGAGACAAAGGACAGTTTATTGTTCACAGCAATAACAGTAATCAGAGTTTTTTTTTTGTTTGTTTGTTTTGTTGTTGTTTGTTTGTTTGTTTTACTGGTTCTCTGAACCATAGATCCCAGATGGTGGTGAAAGGAAGCTCAGGTGACACCTTCACATGCACTAGGTTGTACCACATGAGAAAAATATGAGTTTAGAGAATGTGAATATTTTGTAATGGGCTGTAAGGTTGCCTATCTTTTGCTCTAGGGGGAAACAGTACACCTGGCAAGGCAGTAAAAAGACTTGTCTTTCCTTCTAAGGCTGTTTGCCACACAACCATCTTTGAAAAGATAGTCTGGAGCAAAGACCAGTCAGCGCCTTGGTCACAAGATATGCAAAACTGCTATACACATGGGTAATTTTCTCCCCATAGGGATAGATTTTTATTTTTATTTTTATACAGGGCTTTGCTCTGTTGCCAAGGCTAGAGTGTAATGGTGTGATCATGGTTTACTGCAGCCTCAACCTTAGTAGCTGGGACCACAGGTGCATGCCACCACATTCAGAAATTATGGATAGCTTTTGTTCAGATGTGTAAGACCTATTTGTTACATTCATGCCATTAATAAATTTGAAAAGCATTCATAACAATGGGAAAATTAAGATATCACAGGTAAGTGACAGGATGCCTAATATTGAAGACAGAGTGGTTACTTTACTATCTATCTATCTATCTATCTATCTATCTATCTATCTATCTATCTACCCACCCACCTACCTGTCTATCTATATTCTGTCCTAGGAAGGGATTAAGGTAGCTTATAAAATACTTATGAAGTTAAATGAAAGTAAAAATAACTCACAGGAAATAAATAAAAATAAACAAATCGGACTGTATCAAAATTAAAAACTTCTGTTCATCAAAGGACAATATAAACAGAGTAACACAGCAGCCCACAGAATGGGAGAAAATATTTGCAAATCTTATATCTGTTACAGGGTTGATATCCAGAATATATAAGAAACTTCTTTGAGTTAACAACAATTTAAAAGACAACCCTGTTAAAAATGGACAAAGAACTTTAATAGACATTTTTCCAAAGGTGATATACCAAGGGCCAATAAGCATATGAAAAGATGTTTACATCACTAATTGTTAGGGAAATTCAAACCAAAACCACAATGAGATACCATCTCACACCCATTAGAATAGCTACTATAAAAAATCAGAAATAAAAAAGTGTTGGCAAGGATGTGGAGAAATTAGAATGCTTGTGCACTGTTTGTGGGATTGTAAAATGATGCACCCACTATAGAACAAAGTATGGAAGTTCCTCAAAAAGTTAAAAAATATAATTACTACATGATCCAGCAATTCCACTCCTGTGTATATACCTAAAATAATTGAAATCAGAGTCTCCAGGAAATATTTGTATCCTCATGTTCAAAGCAGCATTATTCAAAATAATCAAAAGGTAGAAGCAACCCAACGTCCATTGATGGATGAATGGATTAACAAAACATGGTATCTAACATACAATGGAATACTCTTCAGACTTAAAAAGCAAGAAAATTAAGACACATGCTACAACATGAATGCACTTCAGACATTATACTTTGTGAAATAAGCCAGACACAAAGAGAGAAATACTGTATGTTTCCATTTTCATTGATGTACCTGGAGTAGTCAAATTTATGGGGACAGGAAGCAGAATGGTGATTGCCAGGGGACAGGAGGAAAGGGGAACAGGGATTTGTTATTTAATAGGCATAGACTTTTAGTTTTGCAAGATTGGAAGAGTTCTGGAAATTGCCTGCACAACGTGAAAGTACTTAACACAATTGAACTGTACACTTAACACTGGGTAAGATCGTACATTTTATGTTATGTATATTTTACCACAGTTAAAACGACAACAAAAATAACTGAATGTGGAAGCAAGATTAAAAGTAGGGAGAGTTAAGATGAAGCCTGGATGAGGTTAGTGCACAAATATTATATCTTAAGATCCTAAAAGTTTGATTGAAATGACTACACATCTAAATTTGCTGGTAGCTAATGAAAAGAGGGTCGCATAGCCAGTATTAAACAAGCAATTGTTCAACTCAAGTATTTCTTGGCCTACAATCAGAAAGATGAGCTTATCCAAAGATGCCCTATAATGTAACAATCTGTGTTCTCAGTAACAGATTTACAGAAAAATCAGCGAGTGTTCCATATTGTTGCTTCTTAGAGAGTCTTTCAACATGGGCTGTTGGCATAGTACTAAATCTCAATCTAGTAACTTAAATTCTGGGGTAGGTAAAAAATGAGAATAGAAAGAAAACTTATGCAACAGTGCTGTCACTATACAGAGATTCAGTGAATCTTAGTGGTTTTGTCTTATTTAGTCAATTGACTTGCTACAAAAGATTGATCATTAGAATTAAATTAAAACTAAAATAAAGTATAATAGTCCTCTGCTTTTAAAAAGTTCATGCAGTCAGTTTAAATATCTTCAATAGATAATCAAGATAGAAAAATGGAATAACCCAATTTAATTTACATTGAGAAAAAGAACTGCTTTACAAAGTATTAGACCATAAAATTAGAAATAAAGGCATTGGATTTTGAAATAAGAAAATTACTGTAGATTATTGTCAAACAAAGCATATAGCTCTGCCAAAACACTAGCAGAGTATGTTTTTGCAAAAGCATGAAAGTAGAACCTAACTTCAGGGAAATAACAACAAGAAATCATTCTCAAATATTACTTGAGATCTCAGCATGTATGTGGCACAGCAGAAGAAAATGAGGTTTTGAGAAGTCAAACAGAAAACAACTCAAATATTGTCTTTCATGTTTTATCCCCAAAATTACAATTAATTCTGCAACTAATTAAATGTGAAAAATATTAAATTATTGAATTATCTCAAGTGAACAACAAACACCTATTTCTTGACATGACAAATAATTTATGAAATAATTACTTAAAAGAATTTGCTATATTGTCACAACACTGAAAAATATATAGTCAGAAAGAAATGTTATATGGTCTATCTTCTTTATAGAGCTAGTAATGAAAACACATTAAAAATCATCAGGATCTATGTTTAAGTATATTTTACTCTAAAATTTGAGTATGACATTACCTTGTTTAGGAAGACAGAATTTATAATTATACAGTGGGGGATTCAAATAATACATTTAATGGATCATCTATACCAAAAAATAAGAACTTTTAGAAGGGAGTCGCCTAGGGCTTCAAGCCTTCCATGTTCTTCATCCAAAGGAGTATTACCAGTTAACATGCATCAAATAACCATCAAAAGTAGGTATGATTACTGGATCTTTAGAGGCATGCAGTGAAATGCCTTCTTGAGCAATAGAGAACATTTATTTTTTTCTACATTTCTTCGACTTTCTTACTCAGTTAATTACTCTTTATCCACCGCAGACTTCTCCATAATGGGAAGTAATACTCACCGTTATCATTCACCTTTATATATTCAGCACCTAAGTGAATGCCTGGCACATAATAGGCAGTCAATAAATGTTTACAGAATAAAGCAATGTTAATAAAGTGGCTGAACAACATTTCCTCAAGAGCCTCCAGAGAACCTAATCATATCTAAGGTTCATGAATGAGATCTACATCTCTTGTGACCTGAATATATCAAGGATCACTCTCCACCAACTTTTGTGCCTGTATCCCAGTTGAACATCAAATGTACACAATCTTACAGTTTCTACCTTAGGCAGATGTGATCAGGAACAAAAGGCAGTTAATGTAATAATATCAGCGTAGAGATAGATAAGTAGGGCATTTGAAAACAATTCCCAAGAAAAAATATATATTTTTTTATAATTTGAAAATCTGAAAAAAGATCCTCATCTTTGTAGACTGTAATTGTGTCTTTCCATTTTTTCTTTCATCTGTCAAATGCCTGGATAGAGTGAACGTGAAATAAATTCCCATTTATTTCTTCATCTACATTGTAATCCCGAGTCTGTCTGGTAAAAGCTGTTAGTAAATCACTTGGTCAGTTCTCCCAACAAAATAGTCTTTAAGTAATACAGTATATCAACCTATCTTTTGACATTTTCATTTTTCGTTCTTGACATTTTCTCTTAAAAAATAATACAGTGTTGGCCCTATTATCTTTCCTTTGGAGTCTGTGAACCAAAATATCAGCTATCACCTCTCTTGTAGAAAAGCTCTCAAGGTTCAGAAACCAAAGATGTAGATGTAAGGCCCTACACATCTGTCTGTCTAATACTGGAGGGGAGGGTGGAGGATTGGTGATGGTGGTTCAAGAGCAGTGTGTTGAGTTTCACATGTTTTTTTCCATTCGCTGTGTTACTTGGGTGAGGTTTATTTTATTTTAGTTTAGTTTTTAGGGGGGACGGAGTCTCACTCTGACACCCAGGCTGAAGTGCAGTGGCATTATCTTGGCTCTCTGCAACTTCTGCCTCCCAAGTTCAAGCGATTCTCCTGCCTCAGCCTCCCAGGTAGCTGGGACTACAGGTGTGCACCACCACGCCTGGCTAATTTTTGTATTTTTAGTACAGACGGGGTTTCACTATGTTGGCCAGGCTGATCTTGAACTCCTGATCTCAAGTGATCTGTCTGCCTCAGCCTCCCAAAGAGCTGGGATTACAGGAGTGAGCTGCCGCGCCTGGCTGAGATGTATTTTAGAATGATTACTTTGAAAGGTACAATGAATAAACTTCCCTCTGTTCTACCTATTGGAAATTACTTATGATTCATTCGGCAATAATTTTTGAGTATAAACCATGTTCCAGCCACTGTTCAGGTTTTAAAGAAAAGAGCCAGAAAGGTAAATACATACTTAAACTAATATTTTGAGTAGCCTTATTGTATGGAAATAAGTGTTTGTCTGCATTCTATTATTTTTTATGCTGCCTTCAAATAGCAAATTACACAAGAAATTTTAAAATGAACTGAAATATAGTATACTGAATTCCATTACATAATTTTATTGGATAATAAAATCATATCCTTATTTCTTTTAGAGTCTGAAAATTAGAGGGATTTTTGATGTTAGAGTCTTAGAATTAGAGGGAAGTTTGACAGAAAAATCAAAACAATTTGTCTATCAGGTATTAAAATTACTCATATTAACATCATAATTTTTTGATTCGTGGAAGTATTAAATTACATCCAGGTAACAATATTTTACCTACTTAAGCCCTTTGTGGCCCTTTTACCAAAAGAGAAATATTGATTGTTATTCCTACGCTTTATGACATTGTAGGACTTCTAAATATTGTCTCTGATTTTCCTTTGCTAAATTAACAGAATTAATGGGAGTTCCACAATGGACATTGTATTTATGTAGATAATGTCCAGCCCAGCTAAACCACCAGGTTATATAGTATAGTTTGAAAGTTTAAAGTCAAAATTTGAATTGGATATGGACTTTGATATGGGAATTATCTCAATACTGGATTCAAGGTTTAGTTATAGATCAAACTACTGTTTCTTTAAGTGATTCCCATTAAGGAAATCTACTAATTAGTAATATTATAAATGAATGTATTAATGGTTTTTCTTTGTAATACACACTCCTTTCTTGATTGACACCGATTATTAAATCTCTCATTTTGACATTCTGTCTTCTTTGGCTCACTGTATTGAGTCTCAACCTGTTGTGACTTGCACCAAATAGAGTGTCACAGCACATTACTTTGGAAAGAATACGCTTTCCAGATATTTTTAGTAGTGCTGCCATTTCTGTGAATATAATGACAACAGCATATATTGTGTTGTGTTTGTTGAAAATGCTACATTGGATACTAACTGACTAGCCCTCAACTAAGTGTTAACCTACTTGAGAGAAATAATAAAAATACATACATAACCAGTAATCAACACATCAAAACTTGAAACAGTTAAACTGTGCGATGCTTGCAAGGGAGATGGAAAAATAAAAGGTTTAGGAAGGGGATTTGCAATGATAGGACAATTTAAAACTTAAAAAGGGCTAATCTGGAAAGAAATCCGAAGAAAGTGAGTTTTGAGCTGCCTTTGAAATAGTCACATCAAAGGAAGGAAGGTAGAAAATTCAAACTGGGAGAGTGCCTCAGAAATGACTTGGTGATAGAGGATGATGGTAAGCCATATTAACAACCGCCCTGTAAATTAGCTTGGCTAAAGCAATAAATTGATCATTGGGGAAGGTGGGAGTCTATTAAGGGCTGTTCAATAGTGAAAGGATTTTTAATTTTATGAAAGAAACTACTAATGCTTCAGGGATTACTAAGAAAGCACATAATGGAAACACTTTTAAAGAAGACAACTATTGCAACTATTCTGATGAAAAATCCAAATGCTGGGAGAATGCCAAGGATGCTGTGAAAAAGTAGAGTGGTTCTCAACGTGCAGCCTGCAAATTTTCTATAGGTTCCTTGACATTTTCAGGGGGCTCATGAGGTAAATTTTCATAATAATATTAAGAAATTATTTTCCCTTTTCACTGTATTGACATTTGCACCAATGTTGCAAAAGCATGGTAGGGAAAACAGCTGGCTTCTTTGCAGGAAGCAAACAGGTGATACCAAACTGTTCTGGTATTCACTGAGTGTATTCTTTACCATTATGGACACTCAGCCTCTATTTTTTTTTTTTTTAATAAATTTCAATCCTTGAGTACATGTCTCTTTAACATTTGGTAGGATGATGTAAGAAGTATGCATCAAGCACTTCTTCTGCATACCAAAATATAATAGCTGTCTTGGGGAAAAGCACTTCTGCACTTGTTCCATTGTTTACATTTGTGAGCTGACTTAGGCACTGTTTCTATGGAACACTATATTTTACTTGGAAGAATGGCTAACAAATTATGATTATCAGACTTGAAATTTGGCAGACATTTTCTAAAAAATGAAATGTGTGCCTGTCACTTAAAGGAACACAACTGACAGTATATATTGCTAGTGATAAAATTTTGAGCTTTCAAGCAAAAATTAGTATTTTGGAAAACTTATATCTGTCACTGCGAGCTTGACAGTCACCTAATGCTTTAAGACTTTTCTGATGAGGTCGGTGATATTAACAACTGCAATTTAAAAATTTGGTTTTGCATAATGAAATGTGTCAACATTCAGAAATCTGCATGTTTTCTAAATGACCAACAGGTAATATTACTAACTCATGAATGGATAAACAATCCAATCAAAGTATAAGATGAACTAATGGCTTTTAATGTTACAGAGTACAACATTGATTGATATGGTTTCAGAATCCATATTGCAATTAATCATTAAGAAACTACCACTTGTCAAGTCTTGGTGTAGTATCAAAGAAGAATATTCAAGATTATCTGAAAAGACTATTCAAATTATCTTTCATTTTCTAGCTGCATACCTTGTGTGACATTGAATTTTGTTCATATAAGTCAACCATATTATAATACATTGAATGCAGGATCAGATATGAGAACTCAGCTTTCTTTTATGAAATCACTCTTGCAAAATGTCAATGTTACTGCTTTCATGCATGTTTAAAAATATTGCATGGTTATTTTTTCATAAAATATTTAACATGTAATGGGATTATCATTTTGAAGTGAGTGAGTAAATAAATATGTTTTAATTTCTAAGTTGTCATTTCTATATGGCAGATATTTATAGATGAGACTCACATAAGCAAAAACCCTTTGGGATCTTTAATAATGTTTAAAAATGTAACGACGTTAAAATATAAAATTATATAATGTTTAAAAATATGGTAAAATCCTCAAAGTTTGAGGATCACTATACAAGTAAATAGTCAAAATTTGGATGAAGGCTGTAACTACAAGAATGAAGATGAAGAAGCACATGGAACATGCTTGTTGGTTAATTTGCATTATATTACACCATCTTTTTGCCCTCCTTCCTAAGACTAAAATACCCTCTCTGCCTTTTTTGGGTACTACATGTGACTTCTCGATGTTATTTTCACATTATTTTCTTTCCACAAAAACCAAGAACTACTTTCCCAGAGCCTGTATGTGTTGAACAGATTCCACAAGGAAAGCTTATAGGAACTAGAAGTCTAAAAACAAAGCAAAATGATAAGGTTAAATGCAGAGTGAAGTATATATTTCTTTCATCTGCTAATTTCTCATTGTTAAGCACTCAAAAATCAAACACTGCTTTGAATTCAACTGTCTTCTGTGTCAAAGTCATATTTGCTAGTAAAAGCTTAATAACTGGTAATAACATAAGAACATTTCTATCCAATTGTAAAATTATTTTGCCTAGGTGAGCCAGGAAAGGTACATGGTCTGCATTTTCCCCAGTGAGGAAGAGTCATAAGAAAGGTGTATGTCACATCTATAACCTGTGAGCAAAGTTATAGACAGTGCCACCAAGGAGACATTTCTTCTCAAACTAAAGGTGTTATAACTTAACATATGGCTGCTCTTCAGTCTTCAACAAGAAATGAGAAAAGGTCACAGGCCCAAGAGAGGATGAATATGAAGAATTCTTGTCATAGCAACAGAAAAGAAAATGAGGAATGGTTTAAGGAAGTACAGCAATAACAGTATAGCCACAGGATTTGCAAAATGCCTGTTAAGGCTAATGCTATGTTGTCAGTAATGTAGAATATGTATGGAATATCCTAAAAAATATCCATATCCATAAAATACACATTCTTGAAATGTGAAAAGTCGAAGGGATAGCAGAGTGGTATCTGTTTGTAAGGTCATCAGCTCTTCAAAGGTAAACTACTAGAGTGAGGGTGAGTCATGCATACTCAACAAGAGATTTCTATCTGGAAAGGAAGTAGAAAGAAAATTTTAAATATCAGGCATAGGCTGGCAAGAGTTATAAAATGAGTAGGGGTTGGCATCTGAGTCTTTTTTTTATCTCCTCCAATAAAAACTGGTTTGTCTCTTGCTACTTGTAACCTTGTATGTAATACCCTATATAGTGACTTCTCCAAGCCAAGTGTCCCAGAAAAGACCATTAGGGCAACAAAACATTGAGGGAAGTTGCCTTGAGAACAAGACACAAACATCAGTTTTACAGTATAGCCTGGGTGAGGCCGATTCAGTGGGAATGAGCCTTAGTTCTTTAAAATTGTGCTGGTTAAATTTGGAAATGTGGATAGTCTTCCAGTTTTCTTCTAAGCTAATCTTTTAAAATATTTTTGGATATCTAGTATTCATCAGCTCTCTATGTTTCCCTAGAATTTCTCAGTTTTAGTGTTGGTCCTTACCTATTTCAGTTTTTCACCACTTGTCTGGAAATCTTTTTGCACGTAGAGGCAACAAATTGGGAGGCTAAAAACAGACATGTCCCCATGGGGACCATCAAAATAGTTTTCTCCTTGTTGATAAGCATTAAATAGACCAGCCATTCACTGTGCTAAATCGAGCAAATGTGCTCAGGAAAAGAAGTTTGTGAATTCTAGACTCGTAAAATTTCAGGCTGGTCACTTGAGGTGTTTGAAATGTCACAAGGGTGACATTAAGGCTGAAATTTGCACAGAAATTTTCCATTTGCAAAACATTTTCACATCTGTAATATCATTTGACACCTTTCACAAGTGTTGAGGAAGATATTGTCATGATCTTATGTTTAGAAATCTAGAAATTGAGGCTAAGGGCAATTATGTGACTTGAGAAAGTCAAGGCTAGCCAGCAGTTTTGCAAGGATTCAAATTCAGGCCTTTGATTTCTGAAGTTTGTTTCCCTACAGTACAAGGAATCTTACAACTTCTCTCTTTATTTGTAATTATAGAGTTAATCCTTGACAATCTAGAACTTTTTTTTTTAAACCCCAGGACACACCACTTACATGTGTTAGAACTTTTAAAATCTGAAGTACATGAATGCTTTTAATGCCCCAGTGAGAATTACAGAGGAAGAGGTTGCAGAAAAGCCTAAATGACTTGTTCAACTCATTAGAATGGATTTTAGAACTGATATATTAGAAAGTAAAAAACAAATATAAAAGAATCATCTTAAAATAATATGAATAAACCCACCCACAAGGAGTACCTGTGCAGCCTTCTTGCCAGCTTCAAGTGTCAAAATGAACATCTCCCAAAGGCAGTCCTCAGCATGGGAGCACACCCTAATCTGTTTTCTAAAGACCACATGGAAATCAAAAGCAAACAGCAAATCAATAATAACTAGTAGATTCACATTCTAAAGAGAGTCTCCCAACAACAGATGCATTGTTTCATAACAATACCACTCCATTATGCTCATATATTGTTTCCTCATTTATAAACTATTTTCATATTCATGAATAAATGGGAACAATAAATGCCAAGTGGCCACCGACCTCAGGGATAAGATGAGGTTAAATTTTAAGAAGAGAAAGAGTGAAAGCTAAGATGAGAAAGAAAACATCAAGCAAGATGATTATAAACTAAACTGCTATCAACTTGAATATAAGGGTAGAAGATAAAATGTCTGGGTGAAGAGCTGTGGGAGGCATGGCAAAGTGTCATAGAGGCAATACAGGAGTGCTGTATGCAGAGCTATTTTAATTAATAATTGCAAGCTCTGTTATGAAAAAATGATCAACATATGCATTTAAAAGGTGGTGAGTGTATTTAATATAAACAGAGTGTGATCCCTTTATCACATCTTTTGCAATTTGGAAGGCTCCTCAGGGAATCTGATCCACCTTCAGAACATGCCTATGATTAAAAGCTCAAGAGGGGCCTAATCTGTTTTTCTCTGTCTTTGCTATGTCTTTACATTTTCCTCTCTTATTGTACATAGTCATGGTTGTCTTCCTCCTCCAGCCCCCCACCTCCTTCTTCTCTTCTTCCTCCTCCTTTACTTCTTTAGTAAAGAAACCTCTAATAAGATGTCTTAGCCATCTGGATCCTGTTTCTTGTGTTCATACAAGAGAAATAAATGATGACCCTTAGAAACTTAGCCATTTTTATTTGGATAATATATAGCTATATTTAATTATTTTCTGGAATTTATTTGCTTTAATCTTCATTATCATTTTTCTTACTTTTTATACAAATAAGCCTATGTATTTACCCTGCAAGGCTATTTTATTAATTCATATGACAATCACAAAGAAAAGGGAGGATTTCAGGTATAAGAAAGGGGAGGAAAGTGGACGTATTTTAGTAGAGTCTCGTGATTTAAAAGTTGTGTTGTGTCAATATTGTAAAATAGACTTGCTAAATGTTATTATTCACAAATCACACATGAGGAAAGCAAGGCTTTACAACCCAGTGAGTGAAGTGGTAGCTGAATCTGAGTTCTATGAGTTCAAAGACAATGTCTAGTATTTCTCAATGCTACCATAACCTGCAAGAGAAGTCCTCCAGATTTTAAAGATGGTATGATTTTCATCATTTTCAGGATGAAATGACATGACAGCTAGAATTTTTGGAGGAAGGATAATGACCGTAATGCCATAGGTTTGCTGGGATGTAGTTTATTTGCCAGGGAAATGGTAATAAGAAAACCTTCTCAGGAAGTTAGTGGAGAACTAAGTGAGATAGCTTATAAAGGGCCCAGTTTCCACCTGCCACACGGTGGGTGTTCAATGAATGCTTGTCCTTGTTCCTGCTTGAGAACTATTTCTTAATGTAGTCAACTTTGCACTGCAGAAAGGTGTTGTATAATAGTTGTTCCCTACAGTAGAAACAAAGGAAGTATAATCTTTGCCCTTTCACAAAAATTAGCATCCTTTATATATTTTTTTAGGGTTTCAAGAATGAGTTGGAATATTTAATGTGATCTTCAGAGGAAGCATATTTTTATAGGTGGATTTATTTTGGGGGGAATACAATAGCAAGAGACATAAAGTACTAATGATCCATATAGCATTTTTATTTCTCCTGACTTCTCAAGGAGGCAAACTGCCTAACTTGCAAAAAGACCAACCAGGTATCTTTAAAATAGCAATGCCAGGATTTCCTTTTATTTTCTTCACACTGGCAAGCCCATACAAACATAAACTCATGCACACATGGGCACACACACAGACTGTTTGCTTATTTAATTGGAAGAAACAATCAGTAATCTATGAATCACAGAAGGAAGTAAGTAGGAAGAAACATTCTCTTCATTGAGCCTTTCTTTTAAGAGTTGATGAAAATGAGTATGGATAATGTAATGTCTTTCAGAAATGAATGGCAGTATCATCAGAACAACCACCCATATGTTTTCCCAAAGCAAGACATTGTGAGGTGTTAAGAGATATATGCAGGTAAGATTACATCCTTTCCTTTTGTGTTCCCAATTATTATCCCCTAGAAGCAGTAACAACACTAATACTTAGTAGCCTATATATTTGTTCATATCAAAAAACTGGCACCCGCAATGTTCCCTATTATTTTACTATAGTATTGTAGTTTTGTTTAAGTTCATCCGAGATCATGACAATTATTTTATCTAATGTTGTTGATGTGTTACATTTAGTGGCCAAATTTTAAACCCTCAGTTCTGGTAAAGAAGAGAGGGGAACATCACACACCGGGGCTGTTGCGGGATGGGGGCGGGGGAGGGATAGCATTAGGAGATATACCTAATGTTAAATGACAAGTTAATGGGTGCAGCACACCAACATGGCGCATGTATACATATGTAACAAACCTGCACATTGTGCACATGTACCCTAAAACTTAAAGTATAAAAATAAAAAAAAGAAGAGGTTATTGTATTTAAAATATCTCATTTCTTGATATCTGCAAGAAATTTGCAAAATTCCTATTACTTCTATTATGAATCAATTCATTCTAAAACTCACGGGTATCTGTAATGCTTTAAGCGAATATCACCTTTGATCATAATTATCCACGAAACTGTGATTGATAACACCCCAAAAGCTGTATTTTCATAGACGATTTCCAATTGTCTACTTTATTGAGTATGTTATGTTCAGAAGGGTATTTTATTTATTAATTTATTATTATTTTTTGAAACAGAGTCTCGCTCTGTCTCGCCCAGGCTGGAGTGCAGTGGTGTCATCTTGGTTCACTGTGGCCTCTCCCTCCCGGGTTCAAGTGATTCTCCTGTCTCAGCCTCCCAAGTAGCTGGGACTGTTACAGGTGTGTGCCACCACACCCAGCTAATTTTGTATTTTTGGTAGAGATGGGGTTTCACCATTTTGGGCAGTCTGGTCTTGAACTCCTCCTGACCTCAGCGATCCACCCCCCTTGGCCTCCCAAAGTGTTGGCATTACAGGCAGAAAGGCATTTTAAAAATAATAGTCTCCTTTATGAAAATATAGAGCTTATTTCTATTACCACTGAAAATTACCTGTATTTGTTATTGGTGGTGGGATTACAATAAAACACAAACCTGATATATTTTGATATTCAGGGATGCTTTTGAGCATTTTACTTATATTTAAAGAAGAGAAAACAGAGGCCAAGGGAAGTTAATTATGAAAGTCAAAGCTAGTAACTGATAAAGCAGGGATTCAAATCTATGCCTTTGTTTAATTTTGATCCATGAGTTACTTAGATGTGTATGGTTTAATTTCCAAGTATTTGGAGGGGTTTTCTAGGTGTCTTAGTCTTAAATTGATTTCTAATTTAATTACATTATGGTTAGAGAACAAGCTCTATAAGGTTTTAAAATTTTTGAAATTTTAATTGAGTCTTATTTTCATCTCTAGTAGTACACCTTCTCTTAAATTCTACTTTGGTAATAACACAGCAAAATTAAGCATTAAAAATAGACTTTTATGTTTATTGTATAGTGTATCATTTTTCATTTTTTTACTTTCAATGTATGCTTTATATAGATAGCATTTAGTTGAGCCTTGCAATGTAATCCAGACTGATGGTCTCTGCCTTTTAACTGGAATTTTCAATCAATGTACATATGTTTGATGTAATTACTGACGTAGTTTGATTGAACTCTGCCATCATGCTTCTGTTTTCCAGTATCTCATCTATTTTTTATTCTTTTCTTCCTCCTTTCTTGACTTATTTTCAGTTAATTAAATATTCATTAGTAATTAATTTTAAGTCAATTATTGGCTTTCTAGCTATAATTTTTATATTTTTAATCATTTGCATCTTTATCATAGTCTATTTACAGTTAATATTGTACCATTTCATGTAAAAAAGCCTTACTATAGTAAAATTCCATTTGTTCTCCCACCCACAGGCCTTTGTGATATTGTAGTCAAATATTTTACATTGGCATGTGTAATCTTATTATTATTTTTAATTTAGTTAATATAATAAAAATGCTATCATTTTCTGTTTAAACATTTATCTTTAAGGACATTTTGAAAAGAAAATACAGTCTTTTATATTTACCATTTATCACTTCTGGTACTTTTATATTTACCATTTATCATTTTCATATAATAGTCTTTTATATTTACCATTTATCACCTCTGGTACTCTTCTTTCTTTTTTGTAGTTCAAGTTTCAATCTATTGCCATTTCTTACAAGTTTCAATCTATTGCCATTTCCTACAAGTTTCAATCTATTGCCATTTTCTACATTTCTCTTTATTATTCTCAAAGTGCAGATCTGGTAAAGATTAATTTTTTAACTTTTATTTATATGAAAATATTTTCATTTTACTTGCTGAAAATCAAATTCTAGTTTAAATTTTGCTTTCGGCACTTTAAAGTTGTCGTTCCATTGTATTTTGGCATCCATATTTCTGATTAAGAGTTACCAGTGATTTGTATCATTGTTCCTCCTGTGTAATGCGTTGTTTTTCTTTGGCTGCCTTTAATATTTTCTCTTCATCTTGGGTTTTCATCAGTTTGATTATGATGTTCCTAGATGCGATCGTCTTTGAATCAGCCTCTCCTGCTGAGGCTTACTGGGTTTTCTTTTTTGTTTTTAACCAAAATGGAAAATTTCCAGAAATTATTTTTTATATCCTATTTTCTCTTTCTTCTTTCTCTGAGACTTCAATTACATGTATGTTAGATTTCTTGTTACTATCCCTGAGGACAGGTCACTGAGCCATTGATTAATTTTTAAAAAATCTTTTATTGTCTATCTCTTGTCTTTATAGTGGATAATTTCTATCGATTTGTCTTCAACTTCACTAGTCCTTTCTTTAGCATTCTCCAAACTGATGTTAAAGTAATAAATTAGTACATTTTAAAGGTCAGATATTTTATTCATCTATGCTAAATCTCCATTTGGTTCTTCCCATAGCTTCTGTTTCTTTGTTGGGATTCTCATCTCTTCACTCATTACAACTATTTTTACCTTAAGATCCTTGAATGTACTTTCATAGGTTTGTTGAAATCCTTGTCTGCCAGTTCTACATCTGGGTCTCGAAGATCTATATCTGGTTCTACATCTTGAAGTCTATTTCTATGGACTGCTTATTTTCTTAAGTCTCATTTTCCTACTTCTTTGCATGTGTGGTAATTTTTAACTTTATGCTGGATATTTTGGGTGAGACTTTGTGGGGAATCTGGATTATGACATATTTCCTGAAAAATATGTTAAGATGTTGAGGTTTTTTTGTTTTTGTTTTTTTCCCCCTGTGAGAGAATGCAATGGCAGATACTCTTGTTCTTGTGAAGCTTAGTTGTATTTTTTGTTAAGACAGGTCTATTTTGTCTTTGAATTTAATCTTAAGGTGTGGTCCTTTTGGTAGGTCATGGTCCTTACTATTATAGTATGATCTTTCTGGGGCTCAACTGAGTACCTGAGGTGCTGAGTGAAGTCTCTTTACCCTAATACTCCAACATTTCCAAGCACTGCAGGTCACCTAAGTATTTCCATTTAGCACTTAGTTCTGTGGCAGGCAATTTCTGCTGTATGGAATCTCTTTCCTCACATGCATGGCTCAGACCTTGGCTAAGAACTTACAGTAAATTCCCATGCAGACTTCTGTCTCTCAACCCTTTCACACAGCTACCTCTTTCTTGGCCATGTTTCCTGTCATTATAGCTTCCTTGGCAGCCTTGCTATTCTAATCTCGGCCTCTTCAGTTTGGTGAGACTGTAGTTTAACTTGATATCCATGTCCCTGAACTAGGGCAGAAAAATAAACCGAACAAAAAGCTGAGAAGATTATGGGGCTCATCCTGTGTATTTTCCTTCTTTCAGGGATCACAGTCCTGCTCTGACCATTGTCCAAGGCCTGAAAGCCGTTGCCTCTTATATTTTGTCCAGTTTTACAGTTGTTTACAGCAAGAAGGCAGATTCAGTACCAATAACTGTGTCACGGTTAGAATAAAAAATTCATGGGTTTATAATTATTTTTCACAAAACCTTGTGAAATAGTACTTGTGAAGTAAGTACTATTATAACCTAGTTTTTTTGAAAGTTAAATTCAGTCTAGTGAGTGGAGCAGTCATAATTTGAACCTAGGCAGTCACATTCTAGACGTTGTGGTCTGACTAAATATACTATGCTGGCTCTGCAACATAACTTATGTTGATTTCCTTCACAGCATTTATCATACTCTTCATCTCATATATATGCTAATATTTATTTATTTATTTACACTCTGCTACTTCTGCTGGTGTATAAGCATCATGTATTTTCTATTTATAACTGTCTCTCCACTGCCTAGCACAGGAATAGGCTCTTGGTGGAAATATTTAATAAGTTTTTTAAAATGAATGAATGAATGTAGATACTACCATTATAAAATCATTTTTAAAATAGGGATTTTTCTTACATATTTGGTACTTTAGACTTCATCTTGTCTGCCACCTTGTGGCAATAAAATTTTGCAATAAAAATAAAAATAAAAAACCCTAAAGGTAGGGAATATACAAAAGGTGATATGTATCATTAAAATCTTTGCAAGTATATACATCAAAATATATTTATATAATAAAAGAATCATAGCAGGATTTTTAATCTTGATAAGAAAGCAGTAATTACAAATCGGTCTTTAGAAATGTTCAAAAACCTTCTGATAAACAGTGGCACTGGTTTGATGAAGTGAGCAGAGATTGAATGTATTAGGAGAGTCTGAGCATTACTTTTGGTTGAAGTAAAAAATAATACTTATATATGCCACTTCGGATATGTTATGAATAAAAAAGAAGAGCCATTTTGATAATAGTTGTTTTCAGAGCCTTTGTATCATTGACTATTTTAGTTTAAATGGCAGTGCTTAGCTGATTAATTTCAAAACGTATCTCTGTTGATCTTAAAACCATAAAGTTATGGTCCTTGTAGTCTTCTCTATGACAAAACAATAGAAGCAAAACTACATGATGGTTTTTAAGCTAATTTTTGTGTTAACAAGTCTCCTAAAAATATGCAGTAGACCTCACATTTACATAAAATTACAGAGAAGATGCTTCAGCAAATGCAAATAAATGCAAAAAAGGAATATTTTAATTTTGATTCATGATTAGTATCAACTTTCACAATGTGATAATAATACAAAAGCAGAATTCTGCATTGAGTATATAACTAATGGTTGTAAGCTGTTTATAGAGTAAATATCCTAATTAATTTATTTTATCAAATACATTTGTTGACTATATTTCAGACTGTTTTAAAATCTAAGATCTTTCAAGATGTTTTGATATTAAAATCATATGTATTGACTTATGCAGTTCTGCACTATGACCAGACCAGCAAAATGATTTATTTCACTTGATGCATTATTAATTGTACAAATTGACTGTTTAACCTTTATTGATTTACATTTCTTACTTAATGTTCAACTTAGGAACAGCAGCAAAAATTATTTTACAAAAGTTAATTGTAACGTAATAGGAAAGATAACTTTACTATTCACTGTTGTACACATTAAATTCGGTAATTTTCAAGGTCTTGAAAAAGCATTCTTACTTTCAAAGCAGAACATTTCTAATTCTAAATAGTGAACCTACTGAAGCTGATCTTTGCATTCTCAGGAATTGCAGCATCTTGTGGTTCTTATATTTGGATTATAGTGGAATTTTTGATCTTTCGTTCTCATTACTTTTTTTTTTTTTACTGAATTCTTGTTTACCAGAGACTGTTACTTATTTTTAATAACATTGAATTAATTACATTTTGACATGACCATGCCATTTGGAACCCTTTTATTATTAAATACGATTCAAAAATTCATCAAAATAATCTGATATCCAAGAAATATTTCTTTTAAAATGTAGGCCATGTAGGCGGCCCTTTTTATTTGTGATTATAACCATGGAGAAGGTGAGGTATAATTACTTTTAGTGCATCTCAATTTATTATTGTTTATGTATGCCTATGGATTTTCTGAATATTTTGAAGTCTATAAATAGCTTTCAAATGTTTGTTTCTATTTTTAAAATTTTTACTTATTTATGTTCTTTGCTTTTGCATGATCAAATATTTTTTAGTCTGTAAATAGTTTTCAAGTATTTTTCCCACAAATCACCCAGATAGCCCAAAAGTTGCAATATTTTGACATACTGAAATACACATTACTTTTCCAGTATTTCTTCTTTCAAATGGAAATAGAACAAAATTGTTTGACCGACCATATATCTTGATTTTTTTTTAAAACTATGGTTTCATAAAATGTTTCCAGATAATATAGGGAGTAAAATTTTCTTTTAATGTCAAAGAGAATCTGCCTCTATGTTTTGTAGTTTACTTAAGAGGGAGAATGGCTTTCAAACAGGTTGTCTTGTGAATTTCAAAGTGATTTTGTTGTCTGTAGGTTCTTGAGGTCAAGTTTAAGTTCACTACTAGGGCTGTGAAATATCTTGGGTAGAAACAACTTTTACATCCTAGTGGATGTGAGTTTGTAAATGACTTTTACCATACTAATAAATCTCCCATTTACAAATGAGTCTTAATATAACCGATAATCATGTTCCCCAGTTGGTTATTAAGAAAGCAGGAATTATATGTTCATATTGATACTAGTTTGCCATTTGTACCCAAAAGAAGTACAGGATGTGAGATGAGAAAATGAACAACACAAAAATTCTAGGTAAATTGCTCAAAGTCAGGCAGGGAGGGATAGAGACATCACAATTTCAAGGAAAGCGTTTGTTGAAAGGCATAATATAATCACTTTATCTTTGCTGCAGATTAAAACTGATTATTATCCATGAGAGAAAGACCCCTAAAACATAAAATACAGGAGAGATACACTTTTATAGAAGAAAAGACAGGCCTGGGTAACACTGGGGATTCTAGGAAGTCATATAGTGACACACAGATACATACTTCTAAAGAAGGATAGAAATATAAAAAAGAAAATTTTAAGGACAGAGATAAAAAGTATTTCATACCTTTGGAAAGCTGTCCAAAGGATCCTTTGAATCAGCTAATGTGATCACCAAATAAGCCATGAACTTTCAAGTCTTGGCTCATACTTCACAGTCAGAATTCCCTTCTACCATTCCACAACTGCAATTTCGACAATCCCTCTTACGATTCAATACCACCTCCCTTACTTACCTATTCTCTCCCTCGTTTCTTCCCGCAGCAATTTGCTTCTGCAGTTGTCTGCCTTTTAGTTTTGCCCTGCATTATGAATAGTTTCTTGTGTCTCTATTTCTTCCAGTAGGTTTTGAGATTTTTGTGGTCTCCATGATTGCCTCACTTGACATAAAACAAGCAGTAAATAAATGTTTGTTTCTTCTTTAAATTGAAATAAGATGGAAGGTGATCAGGCAAGCTCAGATAGTACCCTCCACTAGCATGAACAGCATTTACTTGCACTTATTAGTATATGATTTTACCTGTGTGCATGATTCAGGGCAAGATCTGGTTTCCTCATCCGTAGATAACAGGTAACAAGCTTTGTCTCAATGAAACTTGCCACGCTTGCTATATCTTCAGCAGGTGCATCAAATGGTTCTCCCAGAACTGCTCCTTTGCTGCAAAGCTTTAAAAAATATAGTACTTTCAACATCTTAATAATCTTTCATATAATTTATCTTTTAAATAAGCAAAACATGTGTATGTTTTATTTATATATGTTTTGCTTATGCTTGCTTATATGTTTTGCGTATATGTTAAAAGTATATATGATGCTTTTTCCAAACTACAAGTAAAATATTAATATTTTGATTATAAATTAAATAAATTGTTCCTGTTCACTATTAAGTGAGTGACTGTAATATAAAATAAGGGACACATTGTACTGTAAAATCCTTCCTGTAAAATATTTTAAAAGTATGATAGGTTTTAAAGGAGTGCCAGTTGCTAAGAATGTCTGTTTTAAAAATAAAGCACACAATAACCAAAGATATTAACAGAAAGCCAGGCATAAATCATATTAAATACCAGTGCTTTTATGAAAACCCAGCTGAGCAATGATCTAGCACACTATCAAGTTTGATTTAATATAATAAGAGGTATCGGAAGTAAACTCCTAGGAGCCATTAACATGATCGGTGATTAATTTGAGTCTGAATCATATTCTCTAGTATGTTATTGAAAGAAAAGAAGTGAAAATTTATTAGAATTTATTGGCAGAGGACACAGTATCTGAAAAACATGGCAAGAATATGAATTCTTAATAAAAATTCCAGGAAGTCAGTGGTTTCTGGGCATCATAGATAAACTGTAGAGAAAGAAAATAATTAATTTTTTTTGGAGAACCCCAAACATTATGAAGTGTCAATAATATGACAAGGGAAGATCGGCACTTTTTTTTCCCCTCAGAGTATTCTACTGTTCCTTGAAATTAAGGCTGATGGAAAAGAAGTCCTATCTATGTTTAGTGACCTTATTCAGGATATCGCCTTTTTGCTCTTTTCTACTTCCATCTATGCATATACTGGGGGAAATTTTCTTGCCAGAGGTAGTAATATTTGCAGTTAATACTTATTTATATATCCTTCAGTATAAAATTTATTGTATTCTAAATCCTGTTTGCTTAAATGACATAGTTTAAAATAAATTTTCTTTTATAGGTTAAGTCTTGAGACGGTTTTGCCATTTATATTAATGCTATTGTCATTTTTTAAATGCAGTTTGTTATTTGAATGTGGCTATATTCTGTTCTAAAATGCATTTACTTTCTTAGCAAAGGCTAAAAAAGACTAAAGGCTAAAAAATAAATCTAGAATCTAGATGTTCAGTATCCACAGTCTGAATTGGTAGTTACCTAATGCTGTTTTCTTTTGCTTGGCTATCTTATTAATCCTGGAGATTCATATTGTTCTTAAAACCCTTTATCAGTTGGATGAATGAAATATGTTACTTTCTTCATTTAGTAAAAAATACTTACTGAGCATCTACTATCTGCCAAAGTTGGTCTCTTTACATTTTAATTTGAATTGATTAGGATTTTTTCATAAATCTTGTCTATTTTTAGCTCTATATAAATACCCCTTTCCTATTCCTTGCCTATTTCTATTGACATGTAAATCTTTTTCTTATTAATTATAATAAATATTTAGATATTTAAGCTATTACCCCTTTTCTGGTAGTAATAATATACAAATGATAAAATGTAGGGGTTTCACCCTCAAATAATTTTTTGGAAAAGTGTCCACTTTTACTCATGTTTTGTAAAGGCTCTCAGAATACATAAAACACTACTCTCAATAATTTTGAAAAAAATTAGCAAAGACTATTTGTGGAAGATACACTGGAAATGACCTCAGTCAGTGCTACATTTGGATGCTTCATAAAAGTCACCTGATAAAATTGGTAATAAAATAGATAAAACATTTAAACCAGATTTAGTAATTATTCTAGAGAATCTGACCTCAGAAGTGTCAGCGTGGCTGTAAACAGGCTTTAAAACATAATTTTAGAAAGCATGATAGTTTGAAGATGGCAATTTGAGACAGCATCTCCTTTCTTCTGCCAATCTGATCCCACAGGATCCAGAAATACCTAAACAGAGTTTTCCACAAAAGGAAGATTTTTATATGACATGACTATAAAACACAAATAAATAGAAAACAAAATTAGTAGTAATTATGTAGTTTTATTTATCCATATCTTATATTAACATTCCAGATCTTCTCAATTAATTTTATCTTTTTCTTTTCTTTTAAGACAGAGTCTGGCTGTGTCTCCCAGGCTGGAGTGTAGTGGCGCGATCTCTCCTCACAGCAACCTCTGCCTCCCGGGTTCAAGCGATTCTCCTGCCTCAGCCTCCCAAGTAGTTGGGATTACAGGCAAGTGCCACCACGCCCGGCTAATTTTTTGTATTTTTAGTAGAGACGGGGTTTCACCGTGTTAGCCAGGATGACCTCGGTCTTCTGACCTTGTGATCCACCCACCTTGGCCTCCAAAGTGCTGGGATTACAGGCGTGAGCCACCGTGCCCAGCCAATTTTTGTATTTTCAGTACAGATGGGGTTTCACCATGTTGGCCAGGCTGGGTCTCGAACTCCTGACCTCAAGTAATCTGCTCGCCTCAGTCTCCCAAAGTGTTGGGATTACAGGCAGGAGCCACGGCGCTTGGCTCAGTTAATTTTATCTTTAAATGAAATCAGCCTTTGTTTCCTCAAATCTTACTCAAATCTCCTCTTCACATAAAATCTTAAAAAAGAAAGAAAATATACATTGTATGTGGTCTTTGCCCCTTCCTATCCTTGTTTCTCTCTGATGTGATGGTGTGGAAGAGCCTCTTTTTAGGCACACTTTTTTTTTTTCTTGAGACAGAGTCTCACTCTGTCTTGCTCAGGCTGGAGTGTAATGGCAGCATCTCGACTCACTGCAGCCTCCACCTCCCAAGTTCAAGCGATTCTCCTGCCTCAGCCGCCCAAGTAACTAGGACTACAGGCATGTGCCACCACATCCAGCTAATTTTGTATTTTCAGCAGAGACAGGGTTTCACCATGTTGGCCAGTCTGGTCTTGAACTCCTGACCTCAGGTTATCCACTCGCCTAGGTCTCCCAAAGCGCTGGGATTACAGGCGTGAGCCACCGTGGGATAATGTGGAAGTCATTATGGGATAATGTGGAAGTCATTCAGTGAGTAGTTTCCATGAGGACATTCAGGTTCTTCATGGCAGGCAGGAGGAAGCCACCTTCAGATTTCATAATAGTAAAGACTGTCTATAAACACTGAGAGAAAGTGAAGAGTCTCTGCTTGTATAAGATTCAAGGCAAGAAAAGAAATAAAAATGATCTATCTTAACACACTAATGAGAATACTTCATGAAACCAAGCTGAAAGACAGCAGTGAAAGACCAGGATAATTTTTCAATTCATGTTAAAATCAGAAAATAGGCAGCCTGCTGGGTAGGCTTTATGTATGTTTGTTGAATTCTTGCTTTACCAATCGAGTGTTGTAAGATTGACAACTTTACTGACTATATCGAAGATTGCTTTATTTATTCTCTTCCAAAGTAGTACATCTTTGAATTAAGCTTTGCAATAAGGCAAACAGTTAAAACAATGTGTTGAAGTTAAAGGTAGAGTTATAGGTACATGTAGACAAAATGTTGGCATCAGAACCATGAAACACATTTCAGATATTTTACTAAATTTTAACATTTCCATATAGACATTTGTATAGACTGAGCAGTTAATTCTCCAGAAGATGAAGAAACTTAATGTGGTGTGAATTTGTTTAAATCTAGGAAGGGTGATTTTGTTCACCTTGAAACAAAGGGTATTTGTCTAGAAATGTATAATTTAAATCTTTGGTGAAATAAGTCATGGAGATAAGGAATAAAAACTTTTAAATTACCTGAAATAGTATATCACTGAGAAGACTTTTAAGTAGGAAAAATTAAGTTAGGAGTTAACTTTTTATTTCAAAAGAAACCCTAAAATATTTTTGAATACAGTATGGACAAATTAAAAGTCAATATTTAAGGAAAAAATGCAAGTCTAAATTCTTATGAGTATAGCTGTTGTTTTGATAAGAACCTAGATGTTAAAAATGAAATTTCAGGCCTGGCACAGTGCCTCATCCCTGTAATACCTGCACTTTCAGAGACCGAGGCAGGCGGATCACCTGAGGTCAGGAGTTTGAGGCCAGCCTGGCCAACATGGCGAAACCCCGTCTGTACTAAAAATACAAAAATTAACCAGGCATGGTGGCGGGCACCTGTATTCCCAGCTACTAGGGAGGATGAGGCAGAGTTTGCAGTGAGCAAGCCAGGAGGGTTGCTTGAACCCAGGAAGCAGAGTTTGCAGTGAGCCAAGATCATACCACTGCACTCCAGCCTGGGTGACAGACTGAGATTCAGTCTCTAATAATAATAATAATAATAGTAAAAGGAAATGTCAGTACTAAATTGGAATCATAAGCTCAAATTTTAATAAGGTTTCTCAAAGTTCTTTTAAGAAATAAATATCTAACTTACTTTTAGAAATTGTGCACAAAAGGATTTCAAGATTTGTTTAAAAACAGATACAAATAACATAAACCACATTAGTTGCAGAAATAATATTAAATAATATATGGTGAGCCACATTCTTAAAAATGCAACCACACATTTTTCTTTAATTAGGATCATCATTATCCAGATTAATATTGCTGATAGTTTCTCCCTTATTAAAATTCTGTCTGATGAGTGTTTCCTCACTGTATCACTGGAATAAAATTTTCAGTGATCCCTGACAATTTAGAAGAGAACAATAAATCTGGAAAAGGCTGGCATTGTTTGAGTCATCAAATGTCTACAAATAAGGATATAGATAATCATCAATTGGTAATTTTTAAGGTTTTTGGAAATTATAAAAAAATCTAAAGATGGGGAGAAAGTTATCCATAACCCTATCACCATATATATAATTGCCATTAACTTTTGCCATATTTCTTTCTATACGTTTTGCATTTTTGTATCATAATAGAAGATATATCAACATAATTTTTACACTATATCAACATAAATTTTACAACATAATTTTTCATATGCTCTGCTTTTTTAAAATTGGAAAATAAAAGTATATTAATTATAATTATATTATTACATGTTACAATTATAGTTGAAGATTTCAATATTCCCCTCTCAGCAAATGACAGAAATATTAGAAAGAAAACCAGTAAAGATAGATCTGAACAACACAATCAACCAACAGGATGTAACTGACATACATACATAAATACTTTATATATATGAATAAAAAACACAGGACCCAGCAACCCCATTACTGGGTATATACCCAAAGGAATATAAATTATTGTACTATAAAGACACATGCACATGTATGTTTATTATAGCACAATTTACAACAGCAAAGACATGGAACCAACCCAAATGCCCATCAATGATAGACTGGATAAAGAAAATGTGATACATATACACCATGGAACACTATGCAACCATAAAAAGGAATGAGATCATGTCCTTTGCAGGGACATGGATGAAGCTGGAAGTCATCACCCTCAGCAAACTAACACAGGAACAGAAAACTAAACACCACCTATTCTCACTCATAAATGGGAGTCGAACACTGAGAACTCATGGACACCAAGAGGGGAACAACACACACCAGGGCCTATTGGGGGTGGGGTTTGAGGGGAGGGAACTTAGAGGACATGGCAATAGGTGCAGCAAACCACCATGGCACACGTGTACGTATGCAACAAACCTGTACGTTCCGCACATGTATCCTTTTTTTTTAAGAATAAAGAAAAGAGAAAGAAAACACATATGTAAAACATTCCACTCACTAGCAGAATACACATTTTTCTTACATGCCCATAGAAAATTCACCAATATAGACCATATCCTGGGCTATAAAACAAACCTCAACACAATGAGAAAACTGAAATAATTCAGAGCATGTTCTCTGACTATAATGGAATAAAAACTCAATGGTAAAAAACCCCAAAATAATCTAATTTGAAAGTGAACAAAAGACACGAGCAACCATTTCATACATATGGCAAATAAGCACATAAAAATGTTTGATGTTATTCATTAGAGAAATGCAAATTGAAACTACAATGAGGTATCACTGCACACCTACACACTGGCTAAAATAAAACAATAGTGGCAACACCACTGAGAATGTTGAGAAAATGGATTGCAAAAACTGAGAATGTTGAGAAAATGGATTGCTCCATCCTACATTGCTGATAGTAGTGTGAAATTGTACAGTCACTAGAGAAAACAATATGGAGAAACTCAATAGTTGCACTCCTGGACACTTACTCCAGAGACATTCTTATATTCACACAAAAATCTGTACAAGAATGTTCATAGCAACTTCATTTATAATAGCTCCAAACTGAAAGTGATCTAGATGTCCTTCAATGGATGAATGATTAAACAAACCAGTACATCCATACTAAGACCACTACTTTACAGTGAGAAGGCACCAACTAGTGATCCATGCAGTGACTTGAATGAATCTCTAGGGAATATGCTGAGTAAAAAAATCTGATCTCAAACTGTTACATACAATATGATTACATGACACAATTATAGGAATGGAGAACAGATTATTGATAATGAGGAGCTAGGGACTGCATAGGTGTTGTGTTTATAAAAGTCAACAAAAATGAATCCTGTAGTGAGGGAACTGTAATGTATCTTGAATTTGGTAGGTGGATATGCAGATTTACATGTCATAAACTTGCACAGACATAATACACACACACATACAAGAGTGAAAGTGCAAGTAAAACGAGAAATCTTAAGTTTGGTGGATTGCCTTGGTGTTAATATTCTAGTTTTGCAAGATATTACCTCTGGGAGAAACTGCATAAACGGTACATGAGATCTCTCTGTATTACAACTGCCTATGAATCTATAACTATCTTAAAGTAAAATTTAATTAAAAATAATAATGTTAAAAATTAGATGTATTTAATTTTATTCCTTCCTTTATTTTATTCAGGACAATTTTAATCATGTTTAACTGGGGTTTTGGATAAGAGGATAAATCGTATCTAAAGGAAGTAATTTTCCATAAGGTTTTACTGTGTTAAATTATAGATAGATTTCTATAATAAGGAGTAACAACTCATAATGAGGTTTGTTTTGAAGTTTCATTCACAAGCCATTATAGAAGCATACATCAGCCCCTCCACATCTTCATCATTATGTCTGTTGTTTTAGGATGTTTGCTATAAAATGAGGATTGTGTTTAGTGATATTCATAGAAGGAAATTGGCAAGTCCTTTTGTATAATGACTTTGTCATTTTTGTTTTTGTTTTTCTTAATGATCTTTTAGTTTGTTAGTACTTATTTACAAGTAATTTTTTTCAAAAAGAGCAAATGTGGATGGTAACTTTTCTAAGTTCATGAATAGTTGAGAATGTATGTTGCTGACATGTAAGAAATGCCGGGCGCAGTGGCTCACGCCTGTAATCCCAGCACTTTGGGAGGCCGAGGCGGGTGGATCGCCTGAGGTCAGGAATTCAAGACCAGCTTGGCCAACATAGTAAAACCCCGTCTCTACTAAAAATACCAAAAATTAGCTGGAAGTGGTGGCGGGCCCCTGTAACCCCAACTACTAGGGAGGCTGAGGCAGAAGAATCTCTTGAACCCAGGAGGCGGAGGTTGCAGTAAGCCGAGATAGTGCCATTGTACTCCAGCCTGGAGCAACAGAGTGAGACTCTTGTTTCAAAAAAAAAAAAAAAAAAAAAAAAGAAATGTGGTTGAGTATACATTTTTTGGGACATAATCATTTTTTCTGTAAATACATAGATCGCCATTTACATTATGGTATTTCCCATGCAGACAAGAAAAAAAATAATGTTTTTTAAATGAAACCAGGCATAATTTAAAATAACTTCTTATGTTGAAGTTTCTTCCTTTCCCCCAAATGTGTACTATTTTTTTCTTTTTATAACTCAAAATTACTACTACCGTGAGTCCACATATGTTCTATTTTCATGTATTTTGCCTGAAAAAAGATAACTTCTGTGTTTGCATACTCACGTATTTATTTTTCTAACTTAGAAAAGTTTTCTTCGGTTACATCTCTGATTATTGGTACCATTTCAACTATAGTATTTTCTTTTCTTTTCTTTTCTTTTTTTTTTTTTTGAGGCAGATTCTCGCTCTGTGGCCCAGGCTGGAGTGCAGTGGCGAGATCTTGGCTCACTGCAAGCTCCGCCTCCCGGATTCACGCCATTCTCCTGCCTCAGCCTCCTGAGTAGCTGGGACTACAGGTGCCCGCCGCCACGCCTGGGTAATTTTTTTGTATTTTTTAGTAAAGACGGGGTTTCACCGTGTTAGCCAGGATGGTCTCCATCGCCTGACCTCTTGATCCTCCCGTCTCGGCCTCCCAAAGTGCTATGATTACAGGCTTGAGCCACCATACCTGGCCTATAGTGTTTTCTTTCTTAAGAAAATAATTCTTAAGCTGCATCTTTCACCGCTATTATTCCTATCTATTAGGCTCTCTGATTTTTTTCACCTCTTTCAGGAGAGTGCTTCAAGATTGTTGGCTGTATCATTCACTTTATTTTCATTATTTACTTTATAGTTCATTTTATAAGCCAATGCTAGTGATAATAAATGCAAAAATTTAAATACTGCTAACTTAGTATGTGGGATTCTCCCCAAACATCTGGCCCTAGAGTCTGTGCGTTTAATCACGCACCAGAGCCACACAGTACCATTCAATGAACTAACTACAGATCCACATTAAGTACAGAAACGGAGTAAGCGTTTAGAAACTTTTACAGCAAATCAACAGAAAAACATTACATCTATTAAATCTCATAATAAACAAATAGAATTTGTATTTTTATGTCTTATTTTTACTTCGTTTTTCCTAGTAATTCTTTTTTCCTATATTTAACAAAGTCTTGGTCCACAACAGATTGGGACAGAAATACAACAAAGTAGAACTAGTTCTTCATGACAGATAGAGAAAACAACTCTAGCAACCTGTTAGGAATTTAGATAATTCAGAAATTATAAAGAAAAGACCCTCAAAATTCTATTATTAAAAAGGGACCACCATTAGATACTATCATGGATATATCTATATCTACAGTGTGACTAAATCTATATGAATTTCTATCTATCTCTATCCATCCATTTACAAAGATGGTATTGTTATCCATACTACTATGTAATCTGCTTGTTTCTCTGAATATATCATGAACATTTTCATGTTAATAAATATATATATCATTATTATAAGTGGCTGCATAATTTTATTAGATCTCCATTTAATGGTTTCCCTAATGAGAAATTTTTCTAGTGACATTGAAAATTCTCAGTATCATACATAATGTACAATGAACAGCCGTGTGTATACATCTTGCCCACGGGTTTGATCATTTTCAAATTGTTATATTCTATCTGTTATAATGTATGCTTACATATTGGAGTTGCTGAGTCAGGAGTATACAATTGAATCCAGAAAATACTAATACTTTAGAATATACATCATAAAAGTGCTCTCCAGAAAAGTTTTACACTTTTGCAACAAGGTAAAAGTTCTTGTTTCTATATACTAGTACCTACACTAGATATTAGCAATGTTTTACTGTATTTGTTCTTTGATAATTAGATGGACAAAAATGGCACCTCACCTCAAAATCAATTACTAGCTCAGTCTCCTGTGTTTATCGGCCATGGGTATGGGTATACTGTTTGCTCATAAATTTTATTCCTTTTACATTAGGCTGTTCTAAATTTGTTCACTTATTTTTATTTAGTAAATATATAATTAATTTTAAAAAATGTGTCATTTATTATAAGGTTATGTTTTGTTATTGGGCTTATGCTAGCTTTATAAAACAAACTGGAAAGATTGGAAAGATTGCCATCTTTCTAAATACTCTGAAACATTCTAAAATAGTTGAAAAAGTCTAAGCCCAGCTCCTTTCACCTTTTTTTTTCCTTTTTAATCATTCTGTTCAGGTTTTCCACATTTTGCATTAATTTTGTTAATTTATATTTTTCTAGAAAATCATAGGTTTTATTCATATTTTAAAATTTGTCCTTACAGTAGAGAACATTATATTCTTAGAACATTCAGAATGCCTGTGTGCTAGTGGTGTCATCCCCTGGGGCTCATTCTTAGCACTTTGTAGTTTTGTTTACTGTATTTCTTAACTAGAATTGCGGAAGGTTTGATTATTGTGTTTTCTCTAAAAACAACAAACTCTTAGATTAATTGATTAAGTCTTGTATTCTGCTTTCTAATTCATTAGTTTTGGCTTTTATCTTGGCTTTTTTTTTTCTTTCCTCTTTTGATTTCCTTAGGTTTTTGTTTTCTTAGTTCTTTTACTAATGTCTTTTTTTTTGGTTATTTTTTTTTCTCTTCATCTCCAATGTGATAGTATGCTAATGTCTTTAGTTGAATACTTAGCTCATTTATCTTACTTTTTCTTATTCATTATCTTACTTTTTCTTACTCATTATCTTACTTTTTCTTATATATAAATTTGTTGTATGCTTCTTTGCTTTACTTAGGAAAAAATTCACAGCTTTTATTTCCAGCTTTTTTATGAAGAGTTAGTTAAGAAAGTTTGGGCTATTATTTTTAAAAACTTTACCACCTACTTTTCTTAGTTACTTGTAAGATTAGACCTTTTTTGCATATTTGTTACTCATTATATTTAATCATTTATGGATTATCTGCTTAGTTCCTTTATGATTTGTATTTTTTGTTGTTAATTTCTGTGAGTTCAGCCATGGAAGCATGGGGTTTGGACATGTTATGCATTTCTTTTCCCATCCCACATAAATGAACTCCTCTGGATAAATGTCTCTATCCCATTTGGTAGCTTTTTTTTTTTTTTTTTTTTTTTTTTTTTTTGACGTACAGCTATTACACCTGCACAGAAAGCCCAGCATTTTGAGTGACTCTCCTTTGTTATGTGGAGGAAAGTCAGTCTGAGAATGAAGCTAATGTAGAAAAAACAGAGCTGGCTGGGCACAGTGGCTCATGCCTGTAATCCCAGCACTTTGGGAGGCTGAGGTGGGTGGATCACCTGAGGTCAGGAGTTTGAGACCAGCCTGGCCAACATGGTGAAACCCGGTCTCTACTAAAAATATAAAAATTAGCCGGGCATGGTTGCGGGCGCCTGTAATCTCAGCTACTCGGGAGGCTGAGGCAGGAGAATTGCTGGAACCTGGGAAGCAGAGGTTGCTGTGAGCTGAGATCGTGCCATTGCACTCCAGCCCAGGTGACAACAGCGAAACTCCATCCCCAAAAAAAGAAACAAAGCCAAAGATGGAGACGTGAGAAGGTCCAACACTGAATCCTAAGGATGTTCTCTTGAATCAAAATATAAAAAATAATTTTAAAAGTCAGTATTCTTTTAGTTATTTTGAAAAAGTAATTTAAATTAGGGAATTAGAGGAAAAATGAAAATTATAAAAAAATTAAATTACAGAATGAATTTTAAATTAGATGCAATAAGCAAAGAACCAATATGAGATAAGATCAAATTGTAAATGTGGAGGATAAGCTTTAAAAATAAACAATGTTAAAGATTCCATTACTAAAGAATTTTTACAATTTCTAAGATATTTTCATTTGCAAAATTGTACTTAATTTCTCAGAATTTCCATGAAGTCAATAAAACACTTACTATTGCCTTATTTTACAGGTATAAAACTCTGTGCTAAAAGATCTAGTGATTTGCCCCCATTGATAGCAGATGCTAGAATTGATTTGTTAAATAGAAGGTTCTCTGTATCATGCTAGGTGTCTTAAGCTACTCACTACTTTTTAAATCTTACTACGTAGCACCTCTGTTTGAAATTCAGTAGACCTTTTCTTTATGACTCTCAATGCTTTTCTTTTGGAAATATGGTTTCCGGATTCCAGTTGAGTTTAATGCTTCCATTTTTTTCACTATGTAGCATCTATTCAAAGGTCTATCTTCGTATAATAAGAGATTAATCCAAGCCAAATGATTGCTAATAGATTGAGTTGGTGGTTTTTCTAGGTTCTCCTGCAACTCACCACAGTGCTGTTAGATCTTTTACATATAGAACTTCCTTTGCTAGAATTGGAAGGGGAAAAAGAATCCCAGACTTCAGTCACCAGAGTTCACTACTCTTTATTTCACCACCTCTTCTTATCAACATCATATCTCAAAGTGAAGTATACCACACTTGTCCATTTCCACCTTGGACATGATAAATGAGATTAACATTTGTACGTGGATATACAGAGAGAGATACTAACTAGGGGATAAAATAGCACTGAGAGCCTCAGATATAAGTCCTTGAGCAGAAGAGAACAGATACTGTTGGCACTCTAGTTGCAAGGGTCCTGTGTCTCTGAGTTGGGCATGCAATGGATATAGGTAACAATCTACTTTTTATCTGCCGTTCTTTCTTGGGGATTTGGTTTTCAGAAATTTCACTTGGTGCTTCATAGATTTTCATAGTTATTGTACTTTTTAAAAATCTCTTCCCTTGGGTTAATGTATATGGAGGGATGAGAATTATGCACAACAATTAGCCACCATCCTAACCTGCAGATTCCTTAATGGGATCTTTAAAATTTCTTTTCAGATATCAAACTAAATGTTCAAGACATCAAGGGTATTGCAATTAATAGTTTTCAATTTCAATAAATATCTTTTTATACTCCCTTAACAGGGTGGAAAGAAGCTCTACACTGTAGAATAACACCCATTGGTTTTACATTTTCCATCATTTTGTTACTTGAAAGAGGAATGAATCAGCAAGCTCATCACTTGTAACTTTCTACATGGTACCTCATAGATCTACTAAAGTGTCTCCCTGGGAGCGACAGAATATGTAGGGCTAAGAGATGTGAAGAATTATATTCATACATCAGTGGACTTAAAAGTACTATCAGAGTTTCAGGAGCAATGCTTTTCAGTCAAGTAGGCCATGATGTGATCTCTATTAAATTTATGCCAAATGAGGTTACTCCCTGAGTGACAAGCTATTGAATGACAGTAAAAAGTAATTAATCACTCCTACTCCTATTTGTTAAAATAGCTGTGCTTCAACATTTTTTTTTTTTTTTTTTTTTTTGCCAGGTAGCCTTAAAATAGAGGTGTGGCCACCGTGGGTTCATTCCACTGTTTTTTACCTTGATCTGACCAACTAGTAATTTGCTTATGCTCTGAAGCATGTAGATGATACACATTAACCTTCAGAGTTTTTGTTTCAGAGACCACTAAATTCCAGTTACCTAATGTGAAAAGCAGATTGGAAATATGACAGGAGTGAGATGAATTAAAATAATAAACCTTCTTCCCTCCTTGCCTTGTGTTTTAACTCATAAGAGTAATGACTTTAAAATTAAAATGTTAGTAGTATGTTTATTTTAAGGTAGTTATTTGTATTGTAAAATAAATACATTATCACATGCAAACTCAGCTCTTGTACTTTGACTAATAGCTAGCATTTACTGAGTGCTGACTATGTAATTAGCATTGACTTAAGCTCTTTATACATTGTATCCCATTAAATATATACACGGTATCTTATTAAATCTTATTTAATATTATAACCCCAAATTTTCTGATGAGATAAGACTGACTAACTTTTCAGACAATAAGTGTTAGAGCTATGATTGAAATTCAGGTTTGCTGTCTCATTTAGATCCTATGTCCTCTAGGTAGTATAAAATACTGCTTCTCAACTGGCCATGAATGTTAGTCACAATTAAATATTAGAGCAGTGGTTCCCAATGTTTTTGGCACCAGAGACTGGTTTCCTGGAAGACATTTTTTCCACGGACAGGTTGGAGGGTGGATGGTTTCGTGACAAAACAGTTCTTCCTCAGATTATCAGGCATTAGTTAGATTCTCATAAAGAGCTCACAACTTAGCTAGATCCCTCGCATATACAGTTCACAATAGGGTTTGTACTCCTATGAGACTCTAATGCCCCCGCTGATCTGACAGGAGGCAGAGCTCAGGCAGTAATGCTCGCTGGCCCCCCACTCACCTCCTGCTGTGCGGCCCTGTTCCTAGCAGGCCACGATTGGGGACCCCTGTCTTAGAGGAACAAATGTGAATTCCAACAGCTATTACTAATATTGCTTTCTTAATTTATGACCAATTTATCCATGTCTATATTTGTCTATATACCATCTATATCTATATCCATGTCATCTATATCTATATATCACTAGAGTAGCATTGAGGAAATAATAGAATATAGGATATGCAGGAAAAGAGATAGGTCAACATGTATTGAGCAACAATTTAAGGCACTTTTACTTGCATTAATCACTTATGTCTTGCAATCACCTATTTTATAAATGAAGTAGGTAGTTCACTAATTCAAGAAGCAGAGAAGGCTAGAACATGCAAAAGTGGAAAGAAGAAGGACTCTACGGTTGGTCAGAGTGAGAAAAAGAAGAGATGGTGGAGGTTTTACAGAGAGAAAAGGGGCACGGTTCTTATCAAGATCACAGGGGTCCTGGTCTGGGTCCGGTGATGAAGGCCTTGGTTAGTAGCAGTGAGCAGCCTGGTCAGCCAACGTCTATCATGCCAGAACCGCCAGCTCACTAGGCAGGGGAGTTTCTAGTCTATTCTTTTGCTGAACAGTAGTAAGACAAAAGTTAATATTTTTAGGACATTGGATAATAACTGAGCTTTTATGAGGCCTTTTGCCTTAATATATAAACTGCAGATTTACTACAGATTTTTCCAATTTATATTTCCATTAATTAAATGTTTTTCATAACGTCATTTTGCTTAAATGTAAGTGGGGAAAATTGGGCTGTCTGGGAGTGTATATTTTGCTTAGAAATGTTGGAATAACCAAACTAAGGCAAATTAGATATTAAAAAGTTATATGCTTATAAAAGAAAAACTTCAGCTGAATGAAATTTTACAAAGTTTAATAGAGTAATGCATGATTCGTGAATTGGGCAGCCTCCCAAGCTGGAGTAGACTCAGAGACTCCAGTGCAGCCACTGGGTGGAAGAAGATTTATGGATAGAAAAAGGAAGGTGACATACAGAAGATGGAAGTGAGGCTGGGTGCAGTGGCTCATGCCTGTAATCCCAGCACTTGGGAGGCTGAGGCAGGCAGATCACCTGAGGTCAGGAGTTTTAGACCAGCTTGGCCAACATGGTGAAACACTGTCTCTACTAAAAATACAAAAAAATTAGCTGGGCATGGTGGCACGCACCTGTAATCCCAGCTACTCGGGAGGCTGAGGCAGGAGAATTGCTTGAACCTGGGAGGCAGAGGTTGCAGTGAGCCGAGATCACACCACTGCACTCCAGCCTGAGCAACAGAGCGAAACTCCATCACACACACGCACACCAAAAAAAAAAAAAAAAAAAAGGAAGGGAATTAAAAAAACCAATAATCCTCAAGTTCAATCCTCTATGATACATCACTTGATTTTAATCCCAGCTTTCATGTACATTTATAGCAGTATTAAGTATTTTGGCACAAACTCCCTGTACATTATTTAGCAATTGTCATTAAAATACTGCAAAACAGACCACTCAAAAACCCATTGACAACAATAATATGTAATCTTGTCCACACATCTGCAGGTTGGACTAAGGGTGGGCAATCTTAGCTGTGTTCAGCCAAGCCTAGCTCTAGGATGGAGTTAACTCTAAGTTAACTAGGACTTACAACAGCAGATGTATGCTTTTCATGAGACATGTTCTTCTCATGGAAAATGCAGGAATATGGGAGAGTAAGACAACTGTGCAAGCATATTAAAAGTTTTGCTTATTTCAGATCCATTAACATCCCACTGGTTATAGCTAAGCCCAAAGTCAAGACCCAAGAACACTGCCAGAGTGTAGATACAGAATGTGATGACTTGGCAGGAAGGGGAATGATGAAAAATCGGGATTGATAATTTTGTCTATTACAAGCAGAGGAATACATCTATTTCTCTAAGAATTTCTTTTCTAAATTTCTCATCTGCAACTCATGTGAAGGTGTACAGTGTGAGTTATGACACAAGTGGGTCTCTACAACTATTGTTCTTCCTTTTCTTCTAGTACCACAAGTTCTTTCAGGAAAAAAAGAACTGTTCTGAAACTGTCTGTTCTACAGGATGTTAAGGAGTTATTACGTTAACAAAGTTTTTCAGATCAAATAAGCTTGTGATATGCTTCATTGTAGGGCTACTAAAACCATTTAACCTACTGATGCATATTGCAGATATTTAAGAGAGATATATGGCATACAACAGTCCACAAACTTATTTGACAACAGAATCCCCTTCCTTCAAGAAACACTTTTTTTTTTTTAAAGAACATCTTGAGGACCTATAGTTTTGTGGAATTCATTGTGAGAAATGCTCTCTTAAGGCAACTTCCATCTCTGTTGCTTCTTAGTTCAAATGGTACTGACATCTGGTTAATATCCCAATTTCGAGATCAGTATTTCTAACAAGAATTTAAGGGAGATAGGCGGCAGAGCAAGATGGCCAAATAGAACACTTTTGCAATTGTTCCCCAACAACAACACCAAATTTAACAACTACCCACACAGGAAATCACTTTCATAAGAACCAAAAAAATATTAGGTGAGCAACCACAAACACCTGGTTTGAACACAGTATCATGGAGAGCAGTATTAAAGAGGGCAGAAAAGAAAGTCTTGCATTGCCTACACCACTCCTCCTCCAACCCCAGGCAAAGCAGCACAGAGAAAGAATCTGTGTGCTTGCGGGAGGGAAAGTAAAGTGAGTGTGGGGCTTTGCATTGAAACTCAGTGCTGCCCTGTCACAACAGAACACAACATAGGGCAGAAATCTGCTGGAGTATTAGATCAGCCCTGGGCCAGAGGGGAATTCCCTGACCCAGTATGAGGAGCCTGAGTTCCAGCTGTTTTATTTACCAGCTGACTAAAGTGGCCTGGGGCCAGAAATGAATTTGAGTGGTAGTCAGGCTACAAGGACCGCCGTTCTAGGGCAAGCCATGGTGTTGCACTGATCCCAGAGGCAGTGTACTTGGGGTGCATGCAGCTATGAGACACTGGCCATGGTAGTCAAGGGAATGCCTGCATCTCCACTCCCCCAAATCCAGGCAGTGCTCCTTCCACTTGGGGGAAGGAGAAAGAAGAGTGCAGTGGACTGTGCCTCACAATTTCGATACCAGCTCAGCCACAGTAAAATAGAGCACCAGATTTCTGAAGCACCAAATTTCAGGCATTTGGTGCTGGATAGCATTTCTAGATGCACCCTGGGCCAGAAGGGGAACTGCTGGCTTCCTGGCACGGATCCATCCTGACAGAATTCAACATCTGCTGACTAATGTGGTTTTGGGCTTTGAATAAACATCATCAGCAGCCAGGCAGTAGTGGTTGCAGGCCTTGGGTGAGCCCCAGTATTGTTCTTGTCTGCAAGACTTCAGATGTGACCCCACACAGTGTCAGCTATGATGGCCTCGGGAGTGCCTGTGTCAACCCTCCTCCAACTCCAGGCAGCCCAGCATGGAGAGACTCCTGACTGGGGGAAAGAGGGAAGGGAGCAAAAGACATTTCCTAGTAAGCCAGGGAATTCTTCCTTATCTTACTCAAGTCCACTAAGGCTGGGTATTTAACTCTGCAAGAGTCACAGTAGTCCTGGGCTTAGGGCACTACCTAGTGCTGAAATGGCTGCAGTGACCACAGGCTTAGGTCACAATGCTTAATCCCTTTTGAATTCATAAAAAACCCTCTCAAGAAGGATAGACACAAACAAGCCCATACTACAGAGACTAGAAAAATACCTAACTCTTTAATGCCCAGGCATAAACAAACATCCATAAGCAGCAAGAGCATTCAGGAAAACATGACCTCATCAAATGGTCTAAATAAGGCACCAGTGGCCACTCCCGGAGTGACAGAGATATGTGAACTTTCAGACAGAAAATTCAAAACAGCTGTCTTGAGCAAGATAAATGAACTTTAAGATAACACAGGAAAGGAATTAAGAACTTCATTAGAGAAACAAAGATTTTTAAATAATAAGAAATTAAACAAATTCTGGAGCTGAAAAATTCAATTGACAAACTGATAAATGCATTGGAATTTCTCAATACCAAAATTGATCAAGCAGAAGAAAGATTTAGTGAGCTCAAAGGTAGTCTATATTAAAATATACAATCAGACGAGAAAAAGGAAAAAGAATAAAAATGAATGAAGCGGACCTACAAGATCTAGAAAATAACCCCCAAAAAGACATGAAATCAACCTAGATGCCCAATAACAGTGGACTGAACAAAGAAAATGTGATACCTATACACCATGGAATACTACATAACCATAAAAAAGAATCCTTTGCAGCAACATGGATGATGTTGGAGGCCATTATGCCAAGCGAATTAATGTGGGAACAGAAAACAAATACCACATATTCTCATTTATAAGTGGGAGCTAAACATTGAGTACACATGGACACAATAAAGGGGACAATAGAAACTAGGGCCTACTTGAAGATGGAGAATGGGAGGAGGGTAAGGATTGAAAAACTACCTGTTGTGCACTATTCTAATTACATGGGTGACAAAGTTATTTGTACACTAAAGCCCCTTGACATGCAATTTACCCATGTAATAAACCTGCACGCATACCCCCGAACCTAAAATGAAAGTTGGGAAAAAAAAGAAAAAAAGAAAGCCTAAAAAGGACAAATCTAAGAGTTACTGGCCTTGAAGAAGATGTAGAGAGGGAGATAGGAGTAAAAATTAATTTGAAGGAATAATAACAGAACTTTCCAAACTTATAGAAAGACATGAATGTCCAGGTACAAGAAAGTCAAAGAACGACAAGCAGATCCAACAGAAATAAGACTATGGTATATAGTAATCAAACTCTCAAAGCTCAAGGATAAAGAAGGAATCCAAAAAGCAGCAAGATAAAAGAAACAAATAAAAATAAAAAGAATTGTGATATGCCTAGCAGCAGATTTCTCAATGGAATCCTTACAGGCCAAGAGGAAGTGGAATGACATTCAAAGTGCTGAAGGAAAATAACTTTCAACATAGAATATTACATCCAGCAAAATTATCCTTCAAACATGAAGGAGACAAACAAAAGCTGTGGGACTTCATCAACTCTAGGCTGGTCTTAAAAGAAGTGCTAAAGAAAGTTCTTCAATTTTAAATAAAACGAAGTTAATGTATAACAAGAAATCATCTGAAGGTATAAAACTCACTAGTAATAGTAAGTATACAAACAAACAGAATACTCTAACACTGTAATTGCAATGTTTAAACCACTCATATCTTTAGTAGGAAGACTAAAAGACAAACCTATCAAAAATAATAACTACAACTACTATTTAGATATAGACAGTATAAAATATATGAATAGAGACAATAAAAAGTCAAAAAGTGGGAGAAAACGGTTGAAGTGTAGAAGTTTGTAGTTTTCTATTTGCTTCTTTGTTTTTTCTTTTCCTTGTAATCAGAGTTATCAGTTTAAAATAATTGGTTATAAGATGTTATTTGCAATCATAATAGTAACCACAAAACAAAACCTATAACAGATACAAAAAGAATAAAAAGCAAGAAGTTAAAATATACTACCAGAGACAAACAATACAAACAAATGGAAATTAAACAATATGCTCCTGAATGACCAGGGGGTTTTCAAGAAACTTAAAAGAAAATTGAAAAATTTCTTGAAACAAATGAAAATGGAAACACAGCTTACTAAAACCTATGCAATACAGCAAAAACAGTGCCAAGAGGGAAGTTTATAGCAATAAATGCCTACATCAAAAAAGTAGAAAAACTTCAAATGAACAACCTAATGATATATTGTTAAATACTAGAAAAGTAAGAGCAAACCAAACCCCAAATTAGTAAAAAAAAAAAAGGCCGGGCGTGGTGGCTCACGCCTGTAATCCCAGCACTTTGGAAGGCCGAGGCGGGCGGATCACGAGGTCAGGAGATCGAGACCATCCTGGCTAACACGGTGAAACCCCGTCTCTAATAAAAATACAAAAAATTAGCCGGGCGTGGTGGCAGGCGCCTGTAGTCCCAGCTACTCGGGAGGCTGAGGCAGGAGAATGGCGTGAACCCGGGAGGCGGAGCTTGCAGTGAGCTGAGATGGTGCCACTGCACTCCAGCCTGGGCAGCAGTACGAGACTCCGTCTCAAGAAAAAAAAAAAAAAGAAAGAAAGAAATACAGTTCATAGCAGAAATAAGTGAAATTGAGACTAAAAACAAAACACATAATGAAATGAAAAGTGGCTTCTTAAAAGATAAACAAAATTAACAAACTTTTAGCAAGACTAAGAAAAAAAGAAAGAAGAGCCAAATAAATAAAATTGGAGACAAAAAAGGAGACAATGTAACTGATAGCACAGAAATTCAAAGGATCATTAGAGACTATATGAGCAACTATACATCAATAAATTGGAAAAACTAGAAGAAACAGATAAATTTCTAGACACATGCAACATGCCAAGATTGAACCATGGAGAAATCCAAAACCTGAATAGACCAATAACAAGTAATGAAATAGAAGCAATAATAAAAAGTCTGTCATTCAAAGAAAAGCCCAGGACCTTATGACTTCACTGCTGAATTCTACCAAATATACAAAGAAGAATTAATACCATTCCTACTCTAACTATTCTAAACAATTGAGGAGGAGGAAATACTTCCAGACTTATTCTATGAGGTCAGTATCACTCTGATACCAAAACCAGAAAAAGAGATAACCAAAAAAGAATACTACAGGCCAATATCTCTGATGGACATAGATACAAAAATCCTCAACAAAATAATTGCAAACCAAATTTAACAACACATTAAAAAGATCATTCATTATGATCAAGTAGAATTTATCCCTGTGATGCAAGGATAGTTCAACATACACACATCAATAAATGTAATACACCATATCAACTTAATAAAGGACAAAAACTATATGATTACTTCAATAGATGCTAGTAACAGCATTTGATAAAATTCAACATTCCCTTCATGATAAAAAGACGAAAAAAAAAAACTGGGTGTAGAGGGCACAGGCCTGAACTTGATAAAAGCCATTTATATAATATCCACAGTTAATATCATATTGAAAGGGGACTTTCAGTATGAAACTGAACACCTTTCCTCTAAGGCCTGAAACATGACAAAGTTACCCACTTTCAGCCAGGTGTAGTGGCTTACACCTGTAATCCCAGCACTTTGGGAGGCCAAGGTGGGTGGATCACTTGAGGCCAGAAGTTCAAGACCAGCCTGTCCAATATGGTGAAACCCCATCTCTACTAAAAATACAAAAATTAGGCAGGTGTGGTGGCTCACACCTGTAATCCCAGCCACTCAGTAGGCTGAGGCACGAGAATTGCTTGAACCCAGGAGGCAAAGTTTGCAGTGAGCTAAGAGCATGTCAATGCATTCCAGCTTGGGCAACAGAACAAGACTCTGTCTCAAAAAAAAAAAAAAAAAAAGATGCCTACTTTCACCACTTTTATTCAACATAGTACTAGAAGCCCTAGTCAGAGCAAATAAACAACAGAAAGGAACAAAGGGCATCCAAATTAGAAAGGAAGAAATCAAACTAGCCTTAGTTGCATGTGATACAATCTTACATTTAGAAAAATCTAAAGATGCCACCAAAAAACTGTTAGAACTGATAAGCAAATTCAGCAAAATTGCAGGATACAAAATCATCTTACAAAAGTCCGAAGCATTTCTATATGCCAACAGCAAACAATCTGAAAAAGAAACCAAGAAAGCAATCCCATTTGAAATAGTTACAAATAAAATAAAACATCTAGGAATTAACCAAAGAAGTAAAAGATTTCTACAATGAAAACTATAAAACATTGATGAAAGAAATTGAAGAGGACACAAAACACCGGAAAGATGTTCCATGTTCATGGTTTGGAACAACCAATATGGTTAAAATGTCCATACTACCCAAAGCAATCTACAGATTTAATGGAATTCCTGTCAAAATACCAATGACATTCTTAACAGAAATATAAAAAACAATTCTAAAATTTATATGGAGCCACAAAAGACCCAGAATAGCCAAAGCTATCCTGAGAAAAAACAATAAAGCTGGAGACGCCATATTGCCTGCCTTCAAATTATACTAGAAAGCTATAGTGACCAAAATGATATGATGTTGACATAAAAGCAGACATATAGACCAATGGAACAGAATAGAGAACTCAGAAATAAGTCCATGCATTTACAGTCAACTCATTTTAGACAAAGTGCCAAGAACATACATTGGGTAAAGGATGGTCTCTTCAATAAATGGTGCTGAGAAAACTAGATATCCATATGCAAAAGAATGAAATTAGACTCCTATCTCTTGCCATATACAAAAATTAACTCAAAATGGATTACAGACTTTAATATAAGACCTGACACCATTAAACGATTAGAAGAAAACATTGGGGAAATACTCCAGGACATTAGTCTGGACAAAGACTGAGTAAGACCTCAAAAACACAGGTAACCAAAGGAAAAATGGGCAAATGGGATCACATCAAGCTAAAAAATATCTGCACAACAAAGGAAAAAAAGCAACAAAGTGAAGGGACAACCCACAGGATGGGAGAAAATATTTGCAGACTACCCATCTTACAAGTAATTAAAAACCAGAATATATAAGGAGATCAAAAAACTTGATAGGAAGAAAACAAATATTCTAATTAAAAAATGGGCAAAAGATCTGAGACATATTTCAAAAGAAGACATGCAAATGGCCAACAGGTATAAGAAAACATGCTCAACATCACTAATCATCAGATAAAAAAATGTGAATTAAAACAACAGTGAGATATCATTACATCCCATTTAAAATGGCTTTTATCTGGCCAAAAAACATGAAAGAATGCTCAACGTCACTAATCATCAAAGAAATGCAAATAGAAACGTTAATGAAATGCCATCTCACACTAGTGAGAATGGCAATTTTTAAAAAGTCAAAAAACAATAGATGCTGGTGAGGCCATGTAGAAAAGGGAAGACATACACTGTTTGTGGGAGTGTAAATTAATCCATCCATTGTGGAAAGAAGTTTGGAGATTTCTCAACTAATTTAAAACAGAACTACCATTTGACCCAGCAATCCCATTACTGGATATGTATCCAAAAGAAAATGAATCATTCTACAGAAAAGACATATGCATTCACACATCCATCCCTGTGCTATTCACAGTAGCAAAGACATGGAATAAACCTAGGTGCCCATAAACAGAGGATTGGATAAAGAAAATGTGGCACATGTATGTCGTGGAATATAATGCAGTCATAAAAAAGAACAAAATCATGTCCTTTGCAGCCACCTTGATGCAGCTGGAGGCCATCATCATAAGTGAATTAATGCAGCAACAGAAAACCAAATACTGCCTGTTCCCACTAATAAGTGGGAGCTAAACATTGGGTACTCATGAATACAAAGGTGGTGATATGGTTTGGCTGTGTCCCCACCCAAATCTCATCTTGAATTTTAGCTCCCATAATTCCCATATGTTGCAGAAGAGACCCATTGTGAGATAATTGAATCATGGGGGCAATTTTCCCCACACTGTTTTTGTGATAGTGAATAAGTCTTATGAGTTCTGATGGGTTTATAAGGGGAATGCCTTTCACTTGGTTCTCTCATTCTCTCTTGTCTGCCACCATATAAGACATGGCTTCTGCCTCCCACCATGATTGTGAGGCCTCCCCAGACATGTGGAACTGTGAGTCCACTAGATCTCTTTTTCTTTATAAATCACCCAGTCTCAGGCATGTATTTATCAGCAGCATGAAAATGGACTAATACAGTAAATTGGCACTGGGCATGGGGAACTGCTGTAAAGATACCTGAAGATGTGGAAGTGACTTTAGTACTGGTTAACAGTCAGGGATTGGAATGGTTTGGAGGACTCAGAAGAAGACTAGAAAATGTAAGAAAATTTGGAACTTCCTAGAGACTTACTGAATGGCTTTGACCAAAATGCTGATAATGTTATGGACAATGAAATCTAGGCTGTTGTGGTCTCAGATGGAGATGAGGAAATTGTTGTGAACTGGAGTAAAGGTGACTCTTGCTATGTTTTAACAAAGAGACTGGCAGCATTTTGCCATTTTGCCTCTACTCCAGAGATATGTGGAACTTTGAACTTGAAGGAGATGATTTAGGGTATCTGGTAGAAGACATTTCTAAGCAGCAAAGCATTCAAGAGGTGACTTGGGTGCTGTTAAAAACCTTCAGTTTTAAAAGGGAAAGAACATAAAAATTCTGAAAATTTGCAGCCTGACAATGCACTAGAAAAGAAAAACCTATTTTCTGAGGAGAAATTCAAGCTGCCTGCAGAAATTTGCATAAGTAACGAGGAGCCAAATGTTAATGGTCAAGACAATGGGAAAAATGTCTCCAGGGCATGTCAGAGACCTTCATGGCAGCCTCTCCCATCACAGGCCTGAAGGCCTAGGAGGAAAAATGGTTTTATGGGCTGGGCCCAGGGACACCCTGCTGTGTGCAGCCTAGGGACTTAGCTGCTCCAGCCATGGCTAAAAGGTGCCAAGGAACAGCTCATGCTGTGGCTTCAGAGGGTGTAAGCCCCAGCCATGGCAGCTTCCACATGGTGTTGAGCCTGTGGGTTGCACAGAAGTCAAGAATTGAGGTTTGGGGACCTCTGCCTAGATTTTAGAGGATGTATGGAAATGCCTGGATGTCCAGGCAGAAGTTTGATGCAGGGCAGGACCCTCATGGAGAACCTCTGCTAGGGCAGTGCAGAAGGGAAATATGGGGTTGAAACCCCCACACAGAGTCCCCACTGGGGCACCACCTAGTGAAGCTGTGAGAAGTGGGCCACCATCCTCCAGACCCCAGAATGCTAGATCCACTGACAGCTTGCACCGTGCTCCTGGAAAAGCTGCAGACACTCAACTCCAGCCTGTGAAAGCAGCTGGGAGGGAAGCTGTACCCTGCAAAGCCACAGAGGCGGAGCTACCCAAGACCATGGGAACCCACCTCTTGCATCAGTGTGACCTGGATAAGAGACATGGAGTCAAAGGAGATCATTCTGGAGCTTTAAGATTTGACTGCCCTGCTGGATTTCGGACTTGCATGGGGTCTTTAGCCCCATTGTTTTGGCCAATTTCTTCCACTTGGAATGGGTGTATTTATCCAATGCCTATGCTCTCACTATATCTGGGAAGTAACTAACTTGCTTTTGATTTTACAGGCTCATAGGTGGAAGGGGCTTGCCTTGTCTCAGATAAGACTTTGGACTGTGGACTTTTGAGTTAATACTGAAATGAGTTAAGACTTTGGGGGACTCTTGGGAAGGCATGATTGGTTTTCAAATGTGAGGACATGAGATTTGGGAGGGGCTAGGGGTGAAATGATATGGTTTGGCTGTGTCCCCATCCAAATCTTATCTTGAGTTGTAGCTCCCATAATTCCCACATGTGGGAGGGACCTGGTGGGAGATAATTGAATCATGGGGGCGATTTTCTCCATACTGTTCTCGTGGTAGTGAATAAGTCTCATGAGATCTGATGGTTTTATAATGGGAAATCACTTTTGCTTGGTTCTCTCATTCTTTCTTGTCTGCCACCATGTAAGACGTGCCTTTTGCCTTCCACCATGATTGTGAGACCCCTGTCCCCAAGCCACATGGAACTGTGAGTCCACTAGACCTCTTTTTCTTTATAAATTACCCAGTCTCGGGTATATCTTTATCAGAAGTGTGAAAACGGACTAATACAGATGGCAACCATAGACACTGGGGACTGATAGATGGGGGAAGGAGGGAAAGGGACAAGGGTTGAAAAACTAACTGGAGGCTGTGGCAGGTGGATCACCTGAGATCAGGAGTTCAAGACCAGCCTGGAAAACATGGTGAAATCCTGTCTCTACTAAAAATACACAAATTAGCCGGGCATAGTGGCGTATGCCTGTAATCTCAGCTACCTGGGAGGCTGAGGCAGGAGAATCACTGGAACCCGGGAGGCAGAGATTGCAGTGAGCCAAGATTGCACCATGCCACTCCAGGTGACAGAGCAAGACTCTATCTCAAAAAAAAAAAAAAAAAAAAGGAAAGAAAAGAAAAAAAGAAAAACTAACTTTTGAGTACTATGCTATTTGGATGATGAGATCGTTTGTATCCTAAACCTCAGCATCATGCAATATACAAAACTGCACATGTACACCCTGAATCTAAAATAAAAGTTGAAATTATAAAAAAAAAAGGCCTTCATGGAGAAATAAAAAAGATAACAATATAAAATGTAGAAGAGGAAATTTTTAAAAATAAAATGAGAAAATAAAATGGCTTTTATTAAAAATACAGTCAATGACAGATTCTGCTGAGGATGGATGTGTAAAAAGGGAAACCCTTGTACACAGTTGGTGAGAATGTAAATTAGTAAAATCACTATGAAGAATAGTATGGAGGTTCCTCAAACAACTAAAAATAAAACTACCATATGACCTAGCAATCCCACTGCTGGATAGATACCTAATAGAAAGGAAATCAGTATATCAAAGAGATATACTTCCATGTTTATTATAGCAGTATTCACAATAGCCAAGATATGGAATCAATCTAAGTTCTATCAATGGATTAATGGATAAAGAAAATGTGGTACATATACACAATAGAATATTATTCAGCCATAAAAAATGAAATCCTGTCACTTGCAGTAACAGGGATGGAACGGGAAGACATTATGTTAAGTGAAATAAGACAGGCACAGAAAGACAAATATCACAGGTCCTCACTAACATGTTGAAGCTAAAGAAAAATTGAACTCATGGAGATATACAGTAGAATGATGGTTACCAGGGGCTGGTGTGGGTAGTGGGGATGGAAGGATAAAGAGGGATGGTTAGTGCATACAAGAATATAGATAGAAGAAATAAGATGTAGTGTTTGGTAGCACAATAGGATGACTATAATTAATAATACTTTATTGTATATTTCAGAATTACTGAAAGAGTGGAATTGGAATATTCCTAACACAAAGAAATGACAAATGCTTGAAGTGATGAATACCCCTATGATTTGATCATTAATTACCCCCGATTTGATCATTACAAATGTCACATGTACCTTGTAAATATGTGCAACTATCATGTACTCATAATGGTAAAAAATAAAAAGTAAACAAGAAGGAAGAAGCAGGTTTAGCACATCTTATCACAAGACAATATATTATTTATATGAACTAGTATGGTGTATTTCTATTTATATGTTACCCATGTTACTTTTAAGTTCGCGAAATCAGGCATGTCTCGCTATCTTTTAAAATTTTCTTTTTAAGTATTTCAGAGGTGTTTATGTGCATATTTAAAGAATACTAGAAATTGACGTTTGTGAATGCCAAGAGAATTATACTTCTAGGTCTAGGAAGAATGTAGTTCTGAGCTCATTTAATCCACGCCGTTACACCAGGTCTGAAATCCTGGTTAGTATAAAATTTTTTTTTTTTAAATCAGCACACAAATGTATATTTTTCCTCTAAGAATGCATGTTTAAATTAACACTTTGAGGCTATGCTATAGTGAGTAAGACTTTTTTTAAAAAACATCCATGAGGTTGGGACAGTTTCATCTCAGTAGAAAATATCTTTCACACCTAAAATTTTTATTGAATGCTATAAGTCTAAAAAAATTATTTTAAACAGCTGAGATTTTATAGCCACTCAGGGATAATAAAAATTTTGAAAAAGATATTATATTATATAGATGAGGGAAATATATTAGTCAATATTGTGACTTTTTAAAGAGTTTGCTCTTAAAAATAGGATAAAGGAAAATTATTCACTAATCTTTCAGGAAAAATGTCAGTATGTTTTTGCATAAATCCCCTTTTATCACTGTACCCTAAAGTTAATGGAAGGATTATGTGGTTCAGGATGTTCTGGCTGTAGTGAACTCTGATCCTTCCTGCTTGGCCAGGAAGTGCATGCTCTCTGATTATAACAGGCAGCAAATCCTCAGAACCTTTAGAGAGTTTCTGAAGAGCATGTGAATTGTTAATCCCATACTGCTAAAAATATATGAATGGAGCTTTGGAATTGATCTAACATCTCTACGTACATGATATTATTTTCTCTTTGCTGAGGCTCCAAGAAGCAATTTGGGTGGCCAGTCTCCCATATTGTGGGTAATAAAACTAGATTTAGAGAGATCTAATGATCTGTTCAATATCATATGGCTCATAAATAGCTAAGGAAGAAACAAAAAATAATTCTTCTAATTTAAAATTCAGTGCTTTTCTGTATCTTTCTACACTTTTTTTCTGAATTTTTTTTCACAAAGTTTGTTTTCTGATTCCAAGTATACAGTTCATAAGTTAGACTTTCTTCTTCACTTGAAAAATGGTAGAAGGCAGCGGGAATCTAGAAAAAAACCCTATTGTTTTCAAATTTAAATACTTTAGGAGAAAAGAGGTATAAAAGCAATAATAAAGGGATCGGAATTCCTGAAAGGGAATTTCAAGCATTATTTATGGATTTATGCAGAGAAAACTAAGTTTCTATAGTACATGCAAGTCATTCCTCCATAGGAGGATAAAACTTTATTTAAAGCACACCTTTGAGTTTCAGTGTAAAAGCAGGCATGCTGCTTCCCAGAGCCGGTGGTGAGATATAACAGAAAGAAGTACTTTTGCTAGAGAACTAATCAGGATTTCAAGGAATGTGAGAACGGGTGATAACTTACTTTCATGGCTCAGTCCAAGTGCACAAAGAAGAGAACGATTACTTTCTCTCTCACCAACTAATACCCTTATATCAGAGTCTCCTAAAGGCTCTGTGAAAATGTTTTCCATTTCTGAAAGAAAGAGAAAGATTCACCCAGACATATAGGAGGTGAATTTCTGTACTGACCTTGCTTAGAAAATATAGGTTAACATGGAGACGTCACTTCCAATCTCCTGTTTGCCTATTTGCTACTGAGAGGCAGCCCTGGGAGAAAATGTATGAAGAAAATAAATATTTCTACCTTAATATTTTGGCTAGTCATATGCGAGGGAAGAAAACCCATGAGGAAATGTGATAATTAAAGCACCTCTATAGTGAGACATGCTATAATATAAACAATATTTTATAGTAATGACAATAGCAATTATTTATTATTTACATATGTGATGAATTGTGCTAAGCCCTTTACTTGTATTACAATAGGAGATAGTTACTTATATTATTTTCATTTTATAGATAAAAAAAATTGGGCTTGAGAAATTTAAATAACTTCATCATCACAACGCTTTAGTAAATGACTGAGCTTGGATTTAAACTCACATAGCTCAGAGCCCAGAGGGTATGCTCTTAACCACTGCATTCTTAAATACTGTAGTATTTAAGTACTGGCTACTAACATACTGTTAGTGCAATACTGGCTCTTAGACAGGAAATTTCTACATCTCTCTATAGGAATCTGACTCTTAACGGTCAATGGCAATGTTAAGAGGACAAATGTATTGAAAAAACAGAGTTAAAAGCATCATATTTTTAGAATGGGGAATTTCTTGGCTAAAAACGTATCTGTTGGTTAAATATAGTCAAAGACTGAACTGAATTGATTGAACATGCATTGATTTTGATTTTAGTTGCTGCCACATCATATTGTGATTCTGACCATGCAAAATCGTTTTCAATACCTAAAATAATATTCAAAACACCATAAACAATGGGTGACCAGAAAGGAGAAATGATATCAAGTTTCCAGTCTAACTTGACTTCCCAACCGTCACATTTGCACATTGTTTTAGTCTCTTTTTACTGCCAAGAAGTGATATCAGAACAAGCCAGATGAATGAGAATTGTTTTTTCCCTAATTAGTATTGCAGACCTTCCATCAGCTCTTGGTGAGCCCTTGATGCCACGGCACTTTCTGAAAACATCCAGTGAGCAGACGCAGACAATTTTCTGTTGCCCAACCTTTATGACTGCTTTCTGTATTAGTCTTTGGTAATGAGGAATAGAAGAAAACAGGTCTGCAGACAAGTAGGAGGAAATCTTCATGCCATTATTTTTCATCCATTATGGTACACTAATTAAAAGGACTTGAAAAAGTTTGCAGTATAAACCCATTTTTGAAACTTTGTCCACGTTATTCCTAAAAATGTGTTTATTGTCAATGTCATCTGTCAAGTCACCCTGAAAATGCTTTAGTTAAGGAATTTCTCTAGGTGCCCAAATTTATAAAGTTACTGTGTGAAATATGTTATTGTCCAAAGACTGACAGTGAGTTGATATAGATAGGGCAATTGTTCAGGTACAATTCCCTGTATTTCTTGTGAGCTTGACAAGTCACAGATATCTTATATGCAGTCATCATTATGACGTGAAATCACTTCTAGGTCCAAGGAGTGCATTGTTGACAATGTTATGGTGAACATAAATAAGAAAAACCATGGGCAAGATGAAATCTTCTGTTAAAATAAGTGAAAAAATTAGAGCTTAATAAAGTGAAAGAATACCCTCTCCTTCCAAAAAATCCTATGATTATTGCTAAAATAACATTTTTTCCCTTTTCCAGAGGGTTACATAAATTGTATTTCTTACTTTTTAAATGCAATATGGAAGTAAAAGTAATGTTATTGTTATATCTTTTTCATGTGAATTTATCTCCCCCGTAAGATTTTACTTTGGCAACTTTATTTTTTATTTACTTCTAAATAAAAATATTTTATCATCACTTAGTACTCAGAATGAACTGAAGTGGTATGCACCGGTTAGCCAGTTAGCACATATTGAAGTTTTAACTCCTAATCAACAACACAAACCTGTAAACTAAAATCACTCTAATTTTCTTTAACATACTACAAATCAACAAAGGAAAGAGATAAAATTTTCCATCCCAGTGCATGGGTGATAAAATGTTATAAATTTCCTGAGCAAACTTATTTCTGAAATACTCTTCTACTGTTTTTTTTTTATTTTTAAAAATGTGGAATTATTAGTGAGGATATGTAAAGGAAAACCAGCCTGCTGGGATAAGAGCTGTAATAGAGTTGCCAGATTAAGCAAATAAAAATACGCAATGCCTAAAGTGAATTTTAGATAAATAATTGTTCAGCATAAATATGCCCCCTACCACACTATATCCTAAAGTACCAATAATGTTTTTCTCTGGATCATGGAATTATTTGTGGTTTTAATTTCTTTCTTCTTGATTACTCAGTGTGTGGTGTTTAGTGAGAATTGATTTTCTAGAACAGAAGTCTAGGAGAGGACAGAACACACCCCTTGTATTTTGGCACTGCCATAAAGTAAAAGATTCCTTAGGCCCAGACTGAGGTTCCTTTTATCAGAATCCACCGAAGTATCTTTCAGAAGGGAGGAATCAAAAAAGAATAGACAAATTGCTCAGAGGGTTGAGTAGTTAGGGACTAGGCAAAGACTGAAAAGAGTCAGAAAGCAAACAAGCAAACTGCAGGGCTGAACAGAGTATTTCCCTTAGAGGTGGAGAAACCAAGGACAGGTTTTTCATGTTGAAACGCCACAATGCTGGGTGAAGACATCTTGTGCCTTTCACCTGCTATTTGGTTGTTCTTTGTGAGACAGAGCTGGGGGTGTGATGGCGGAGAGAGGAAGGATGAGGATGACGGGAAAGTGAGGCCCAGTGGAGCAGTATGAGGAAGCCGCTGTGGGGAATTTTATGGACGGGGTGATCTCAGAGATCACTTTCATTGTCAAAATTATATTTGATGACTAATGGAAGAACTAGTTTTAGGCAATTTCTAATCTTGCCAAGGTTTTGAGTTTAAGTGGATAGGGCACCATTAGACAAATTCTGAATGAATTCCCTGATTTATTAACTTATAAAATGCAGGGAGGACCAACAGTTTATAAAAGCAGGGAGCAGCAAAAGCACACATCTGAAAGTCCTGCCTTTTGCATAATGTGCAAGAGTTCTGCATACATATGCTTGATGTCCAAAAAATTATCACAAGTCCTGAATTGTTGGAGAAGAAAAGAATGATATACAGGCTTGGAAAGAGATACTTTCTCTGAAGGTACACTGTGAGAAGCAGCAGCATCCCAGCCTGCAAGTGCTCTGTTGTAAAATTTGAAAGAGAATCGGAAGGCAACACCCAAACTGCTGCTTCATAAAGATGGCCTGTCTCTCCCTGGGCATTGTTTAATAATAATCCTTTGAACCCTAATATCAAAATATCAAAATCTTATCTGTAGATTTCTAGCTTAGAAATTTGTGAGAGAAAGAAGCTGAAAACACGGTAGCTAGCAGATGCCTGGCAGTGACCAGGCAAACAACTTTAAAATAGACTTGTATTCATACTCAAATTAAAAATGCCATATAACTTGTTTATATTAGATTAACCGCTTGTTCCTCATAGTCAGCCAGATCAGAACTTCCACCACCATTCTATTCCTATGCCAAGTTCCGGATTATGCATCAAGACTGGATGGTGTGGGGAATGCTACTTGCCTCCAGCTGATGCAGATCAATAACCCAGACACAAGAACCATTTGGGAGAATGAGTCGCTTCCTGGTCTAAGCACCAGCTCCAGGCAATGGTTGACCAAACAAATACAAAATCATAATGAACAAAACTGAGACTTCCATTGAATCGTTAAAGAGGAGAGTTTGTGATAAATGAATGTGTATTTTAACAAGCAGGGGGCAATTTTATGAAACTCATGCCTTAAAAAGGGACTCTAGACCAGAAACAACAATGACAAAAGACCAGAACAAGGTAAAGAACTTTAAAAATGTGGTGGAGTAAATGAAAACACAGATCTTCTCACATAAAACCGTTCGTGAGATTACCAGAAAAGGAAAAAAGAAATTAACATCCGCCAAAATGAACTGGTTAGAAATTCAACACCCATGTTAAATATTTCCATCTTTGTCTTTGGTTAAATTTAAAGGGAACTGCTAATATTCACCATTAAGTATGATGTCAGGATTTAGCTTCATACAGATATCATTTATTATGGTAATCATATGGTTATTCTAGAACATTAAGTTAATTTGAATGCAACTGTTTCTTGAATTTCATCGAATGCATTTTTGACACTTATTAAGATGAGCATGTGATTTTCCATCTTTAGACTATAAATGTAGATTACGTAAGTAGAATATTCTGTGGCTGAACCTATTCTACTGAACCATGACTTACTTTGAGAGGCTTTCTATGACTCCCTCCTATAAGTTTAGATCTTTCTTTTAGGTGTCCCCATAGCACCTTGTACCAGGCGTACCCCAACATTTGCAGGGCCTGGGGTAAGAATTCAAAGGAAGGCCCACATCCCATATGTCTAAATATTTTAAAACTACAAATCAAGCTAACAAACCATTAAACAAAGTATGTTCTATCCTCCTACCTTGACAAATATATCCTCAAAACCACCTGGAAAACTAGGTTCAAATTAGAATTCTCAGAATCCTTGGAGTTCTGTGCAGGAACATGACTGTGGGAAGAAATGGCTTCCAGCTGCTTGTCCTGTCTGTCGCCCCTTACCCTTCCTTCCCGCTTCTGCCTCCATCCAGAACTTCAGAAGGGGGCTTTTCTTGTATGTGCCTGGACAACCCAGACCAAGCATTTAAACTGTTCACTATCTCCCCTAAATAGTCACCCATTGGTGGACACACAAAAAACAAAGTCAGTCTTCAGGAGGGTGGACCTCTTCTGCCTGTGGGAGCAGGTTTGTATTGTTTGAGCAGGGAATTCGAGTATCCCTGGCCCCCAGAGGTGGGTCTAATGGGGGTTGTGGGCTCCAGATGGGCATGCCAGGATGCCCACAGATATCCCCTCACCCCGTGTGCCTCTCTCTTTGCCTAGAAGAGAGGAACACAGCTCAGGGCAGGCCTGGATGAGGTTCTCTGAAACCTGGGATAAGAGCAGAGGTCCTTTTATGCTTGGATCTAAGGGTACTAGTGCCTCGGACTGTCCAATCATCACAGTCATCCAAGTTTTTTTTTCTACTTCTTTACTCCTAGCTAGACTTTAAGCCCCATATGGGCAAGGATCTGCCTTGTTCACTTTTGTATCACCAGTCCCAGCACAGTGCCTGGCATCAATTAGGTATTTATAAATATTTATAAAATAAAAGAAATGCTAGTCATTTAAAAATGGGGTTGTATCTTTTAAAGTACATATGCAACATTTATAAAATTTATGTGTTAGGGCTTAATGAATAATTTTAATTAAAAGTCAAAGTTTTATAGGCTTTTTTTTTACTACACTGTTATAACATTGGAAATAAATAGCATAAATATAAACAAAACTCATCCACATAGAAAATGAAAAATTATTTTAAATGATAATAGAAAGAAGGGAAGATTTTAAAATTTGGCAAGATACTTAGGAAGAAATTAATACTTATGTTAATATTCTTAACAACATTTCTAAGACAGAAAACTAGAAACATTTTAAATCGCCAGGAATTGGGAAATAGTTATATCACATTGATAGAGTACTATTAAGCCAATGAAATAATAATAGTAAAGATGAATGATAATATGAAAATTTTGTACAATCTAATTTTAAGTGAAAAATGTACAATGCAAAAGATAGACCATATACTTAACTTTATTATTTATTTTATTTTAAGTTCTGAGGTACATGTGCAGGATATGTAGGTTTGTCACATAGGTAAACGTGCGCCCTGGTGGTTTGCTGCACAGATCATCCCATCTCCTAGGTATTAAGTCCAGCATTAGCTATTTTTCCTGATACTCTCCTTCCTCCTTCTCTCCCCGAAAGGCCCCAGTGTGTGTTGTTCCCTTCCCTGTGTTTATGTGTTCACATTGTTCAGCTCCAACTTATAAGTGAAAACATGTGGTGTTTGGTTTTCTATTCCTGTATTAGTTTGCTGAGAATAATGGCTTCCAGCTCCATCCATGTCCCTGCAAAGAACATGATCTCATTCCTTTTTACGACTGCATAGTATTCCATCATATATATGTACCACATTTTCTTTATCCAGTCTATCATTGATGGGCATTTGGATTGATTCCATGTCTTTGCTATTGTGAATAGCGCTGCAATGAAGTATTCACAATAGCAAAGACTTGGAATCAACCTAAATATGCATGCATGTATCTTTATAATAGAATGATTTATATTCCTTTGGGTGTCTACCCAGTAATGGAATTGCTGGGTCAAATGGTATTTCTGGTTCTAGGTCTTCAAGGAATCGTTACACTGTCTTCTACTATGGCTGAACTAATTTACATTCCCACCAACAGTGTAAGTGTTCCTATTTCTCCACAGCCTTGCTAGCATCTGTTGTTTCTTAACTTTTTAATAATTGTCATTCTGTCATGAGATAGTATGTCATTGTGGTTTTGATTTGCATTTCTCTAATGATCAGCGATGTTGAGCTTTTTATCGTTTGTTTGTTGGCCTCATAAATGTCTTCTTTTGAGAACTGTCTGTTTACGTTCTTTGCCCACTTTTTAATAGGGTTGTTTGTTTTTTTCTTGTAAATTTGTTGAAATTCCTTGTAGATTCTGGATATTAGACCTTTGTCAGATGCATAGATGGCAAAAATTTTCTCCCATTCTGTAGGTTGTTTGTTTGCCCTGATGATAGTTTCTTTTGCTGTGCAGAAACTCTTTAGTTTAATTAGATCCCATTTGTCAAGTTTTGCTTTTAGTGCAATTGCTTTTGATGTTTTTGTCATGAAATCTTTGCCTGTCTCTATGTCCTGAATGGTATTGCCTAGATTTTCTACTAGAGTTTTTATAGTTTTGGGTTTCACATTTAAGTCTTTAATCCATCTTCAGTTAATTTTTGTGTAAGGTGTAAGGAAAGGGTCCAGGTTCAATTTTCTGCCTATGGCTAGCCAGTTCTCCCAGCATCATTTATTAAATAAGGAATCCTTTCCCCATTGCTTGTTTTTGTCAGGTTTGTTGAAGATCAGATGTTGTACATATGTGATCTTATTTCTGAGTTCTCTATTCTGCTCCATTGGTCTATATGTCTGTTTTTGTACCAGTACCATGCTGTTTTGGTTACTGTAGCCTTGTAGTATAGTTTGAAGTTGGATAGCGTGATGCCTCCAACTTTGTTCTTTTTGCTTGGGATTGTCCTGGTTATGTGGGCTCTTTTTGGCTCCATATGAATTTTAAAGTAGTTTTTTCTAATTCTGTGAAGAACGTCAATGGTAGTTTAATGAAAATAACATTGAATCTATAAATTACTTTGGGCAGTATGGCCATTTTCATGATATTGATTCTTCCTATCCATGAGCATAGGATGTTTTTCCATTTGTTTGTGTCCTGATTTTCTTGAGGAGTGGTTTGTAGTTCTCCTTGAAGAGGTCCTTCTCTTCCCTTTTAGCTGTATTTGTAGGTATTTTATTCTCTTTGTAGCAATTGTGAATGGGAGTGCATTCATGATTTGGCTCTCTGATTGTCTATTTTTGGTGTATAGGAATGCTTGTGATTTTTGCACATTGATTTTGTATCCTGAGACTTTGCTGAATTTTCATATCAGTTTAAGGAATTTTTGGATTGAGATGATGGGGTTTTCTAATTATAAAATCATGTCATCTGTAAACAGAGACAATTTGACTTCCTCTCTTCCTATTTAAATATGCTTTATTTTTTTTTTCTCTTGCCTGATTGCCCTGGCCAGAACTTCCAATACCTTGTTGAATAGGAGTATTGAGAGAGGGCATCCTTGTCTTGTGCTGGTTTTCAAGGGGAATGCTTCCAGCTTTTGCCCATTCAGTATGATATTTGCTGTAAGTTTGTCAAAAATGGCTCTTATTATTTGAGGTATGTTCCTTGAACACCTAGTTTATTGAGAGTTTTTAACATAAAGAGATGTTGAATTTTATTGAATACCTTTTCTGCATCTATTGAGATAATCATATGGTTTTTGTCTTTAGTTCTGTTTATGTGATGAATTACGTTTATTGATTTGCATATGTTGAACCAGCCTTGCATCCCAGGGATAATGCCAACTTGATCGTGGTAAATAAGCTTTTTGATGTGCTGCTGGATTCAGTTTGCCAGGATTTTATTGAGGATTTTTGGATTGATGTTCATCAGGGATATTGACCTTGAAATTTTCTTTCTTTCTTTCTTTCTTTTGTTTTTTTTGTATCTCTGCCAGGTTTTGGTATCAGGGTGATGCTGGCCTCATAAAATGAGTTAGGAAGGAGTCCCTCCTTTTCAATTGTTTGGAATAATTTCAGAAAAAATGGTACCAGCTCCTCTTGGTACCTCTGGTAGAATTCAGCTGTAAATCTGCCTTGTCCTGGGCTTTTTTTGCTTGGTAGACTATTACTGCCTCAATTTCAGAACTTGTTATTTGTCTATTCAGGAATTCAACTTGTTCGTGGTACAACCTTGGGTGGGTGTATGTATCTAGGAATTTATCCATTTCTTCTTCTAGACTTTCCAGTTTATTTGGTTAGAGGTGTTTATAGTATTCTCTCTGACAATTGTTTGTATTTCTTTGGGGTCAGTGGTGATATCCCTTTTATGGTTTTCTATGATGTCTATTTGATTCTTCTCTCATTTCTTCTTAATTAATGTAGCTAGTAGTCTATCTATTCCATTATTTTCTTCAAAAAGCCACCTCCTGGATTCATAAATTTCTTGAAGGGTTTTTCATGTCTCTATATCCTTCAGTTCTGCTCTGATTTTGGTTATTTCTTGTATTCTGCTAGCTTTATGGTTTGTTTGCTCTTGGTTCTTTAGTTCTGTTAGTTGCAATGTTAGGATGTCAATTTGAGACCTTTCTAGCTTTCTGATGTGGGCATTTAGTGCTATAAATTTCCCTCTTAACACTGCTTTAGCTGTGTCCCAGAGATTCTGGTACACTGTCTCTTTGTTCTCATTAGTTTCAAAGAAATTCTTAATTTCTGCCTTAATTTCATTATTTAAGAAGTCATTCAGGAGCAGGTTGTTCAATTTCCATGTAGTTGCATGGTTTTGAGTGAGTTTCTTAATCTTGAGTTCTAATTTGATTGTGCTGTGGTCTAAGAGACTTATGATTTCAGCTCTTTTGCATTTGCTGAGGAGTGTTTTATTTCCAATAATGTGATCAATTTTAGAGCAAATGCCATGTGGAGCCAAGAAGAATGTATATTCTGTTGTTTTTGGGTGGAGATTTCTGTAGCTATCTGCCAGGTCCCCTTTATCCAGAGCTGAGTTCAAGTCCTGAATATCATTGTTAATTTTCTGTCTTGATGATCTAATATTGACAGTGGGGTGTTGAAGTCTCCCACTGTTACTGTGTGGGACTCTAAGTCTCATTGTAGGTCTCTAAGAACTTGCTTTATGAATCTGGGTGCTCCTGTATTAGGTGCATATATATTTAGGATAGTTAGCTTTTGTTGTTGAATTGAGCCCATTACATTAATGCAATGCCCGTCTTTGTCTTTTTTGATCTTTGTTGGTTTGAAGTCTATTTCATCAGAAACTAGGGTTGCAACCCCTGCTTTTTTCTGCATTCCATTTGCTTGGTAAAGTTTCCTCCATCCCTTTATTTTGAGCCTATGTGTGTCTTTGTATGTGAGATGGGTCTCCTGATTACAGCACACTGATGGGTCTTAATTCTATCCAGCTTGCTATTCTGTGTCTTTTAATTGGCACATTTAGCCCATTTACATTTAAGGTTAATATTGCTATGTGTGAATTTGATCCGGTCATCATGATGCTAGCTGGTTACTTTGCAGACTTGTTAATGTAGTTGCTTCATCGTGTCATTGGTCTGTGTACTTCATTGTGTTTTTGTAGTGGCTGGTACTGGTTTTTCCTTTCCATATTTAGTGCTTCCTTCAGGAGCTCTTGCAAGGGAGGCCTGGTGGTGATGAATTTCCTCAGCATTTGCTTGTCTGAAAAGGATTTTATTTCTCCTTCCCTTATGAAGCTTAGTTTGGTTGGATATGAAATTCTGGGATGGAAATTCTTTGCTTTAAGAATGTTGAATATTGGCCTCCAATCTCTTCTGGCTTGTAGGGTTTCCACGGAGAGGTCTGCTGTTAGTCTGATGGGCTTCCCATTGTAGATGACTTGACCTTTCTTTCTGGTTGCCCTTAATATTTTTTTCTCCAATTTGACCTTGGAGAATCTGATGATTAGCATTTTCTTTCCGTCTTTCTTTCTTTCTTTCTTTCTTTCTTTCTTTCTTTCTTTCTTTCTTTCTTTCTTTCTTTCTTTCTTTCTGTCTTTTCTTTTTTTTTTTTTTTTGAGATGGAGTCTTGCACTGTTGCCAGGCTGAACTGCAGTGGTGTGATCTCAGCTCACTGCAACCTCCGCCTCCCAGGTTCAAGCAATTCTCCTGCCTCAGCCTCCCAAGTAGCTGGTACTACAGGTGTGCACTACCATGCCCAGCTAATTTTTGTATTTTTAGTAGAGACGGGGTTTCACCATGTTGGCCAGGATGCTCTCTATCTCTTGACCTCATGATCCGACCACCTTGGCCTCCCAAAGTGCTGGGATTACAGGTGTAAGCCACTGCACTTGGTCGCCAAAGCATAGTTTTATAAGTTAATGATACTTATTTTAATTTGTTTTTGTTTACTCATGCTGTATACCTTGATGTAGCTTTATTTAGAAACATATTTTATATGGAATTTTTACACATATGTGTGTATTTAAGCTGAATTTTATACACACTTATGATTATATAGATTTGTATATACATAAATGTATTTTTTTGTGTATGTTTAATTTTTTTGGTTGTTTACCAAGATGGATTTAGACATGCTGGAAAAAAATCAGAGGAAAGGAACTGTATAGGTATTAAATTTGAAACTTACCTTGTGAAAAATGAGTAAAGGAGCTAAGGACTTCTAGCCTGGAGAAAACTCAGATTATATTTCATGGATGTCCTAGGTACAAAGTGCCTTCCCATAGGCAAGAACATAAACATTCATTTACTCACTCAACAAATGTTTCTTAAAAGCCTACTGTGTTGTAGGAGCATGTGCAAGGGCTGGGGAAGAAATGAGATGGTATTGAACACTGAAGCTGTTGTGATGGCTGGGATTATAAACAGAGCATGGAATATTCTGGAAGGCAGATTTTGGTGAATTCAGGTTAAACATTTCTCCTGGTCAAAGCTGTCCAAGGATGAACGGACCACCCCAGAATGAACTGAATTCCCTTTCCTGCTGTATGACCCACTGGCTGGGATGGTATTTTATAAAGCAGATGTGTAGTTGGACCAGGTGACCCTTGAACTTTGAGATCCCCGATTTCTCATGCCTAAATAAGAGATAGGTTCTCCAGAGAAGATCAAAGAGGGAAAATATGGCTCAGAATACATCCATAGAGAATTGGTTTGGGTCTAGGGGAAGAACTTATTTCAGAGTAATAATTCTCTCTGGTTGTGAATGGAAGGTAGAGGAAACACTGATGTGAAGACATGCGTCCTCTGTGGTGCACTTCCTTCTCCTCCAGAGGCAGGAGGCCACATCAAATGGCTTCTGCAAGTTTATTTTAGCTTCACTATACAAATGTTCTTATCTGAGGATGGCTGAGGAAATTGGTACCTGAAAGGAAACTTCAGGAAATAACTGGGAAGCGGATGAGGCAGTGACTGTGAGGAGTTAACAGCTGTAATGGAGTGCATGATTGCCTGTTATCAGTGACAGCAGTCAGTGAAGATACGGATAAGGGCCCATTAGCTTCTGCGGGAAAATGAACCAGAGGAGGCCCTGAAAAGGGGAGCCTGTGACTTGAGGGGACCTGAAGACATGGTGGTGGTGGATTGTGTCAGGAATGTGAACGACGAGGACAAGGAGCTGTACCTTGTAAGGTGTTTCTTATGGTGAACCTTGTTGAGATGTGGAGTGAGAAAAGCACTGAATTGGAAATAATGGGGATGAAGGAAGGGATTGGAACACCAGGCAGGAGGAAACGGGAAGGTGCTGGTAAACTGCGGAAGCACTACTCCTCCAGGACTCAGCACATGGGCCCTTACTGGAAGACAGGGCCTAAGCCGTGGCTGAGATTATGACAACTGCTCAGGAATTCTGACTTGAGCGTGTTGTAAATTGTGGATTATAATCACACTTCTTGTTTTTCAACTGGATACTGTTTTCTACTAAAAAGCCTGCTTTTAACAGGTGCTAAAGAACTACCTCAAAGAAAATTCTGAAACAAAATAAAACAAAGAGGAAGAAATCCCAGAAAAAATGTTGATATAGTTTGGATGTGTCCCTATCCAACTGTCATACTGAAATGTAAATCCCAATGTTGAAAGTAGGGCTTGGTGAGAGCTGATTGGATCATGAGGTCAGATTTCTCATGGATGGTTTAGCACCATTCCTCTTGGCACTGTTCTCATGATAGTGAGTGGCTTGTCATGAGACTGTTTAAAAGTGTGTAGCACCTCCCTCACCCCACCCTACTCCTGCTTTGTCATGTGATGTGCCTGATCCCCTTTCACCTTCTGCAATAATTGTAAGCTTCCAGAGGCTTCCCCAGAAGCCAATGCCTGGTATGCTTCCTGTACAGCCTGCAGAACTGTGAGCCAATTAAACCTCTTTTCCAATAAATTACCCAGTCTCAGGTATTTCTTTACAGCAATGCAAGAATGGAATGATGCTAAAGTCTTACATTTATGAGTTTGGCGCTTCCACAAATACTGCATCACCCTGAGATCAGAAATAGGGTAACATAATTTTATCCTTTTTTTGCAAATGAGGAAATTGAAGCTTAAAGCTCACAGACATCAGCTGAGGGGGAGCCAGATTGAAAATGCAGGTTTTCTGATTGCAGTTCCTAAATGCCTTCCACTGAATTGCGGTAGCATTTTACCTGTCAAGAAAAGCTGCTGCAGTTTGTCATGCTCCTTGGCAACTCCTAAGTGCTTCTTTGCCAGTATATTCAAATGGATACATTTAACATAGGACCAATGATCTGTGATAACACAAGGATATGGTAAAAGTAGAGACGGTGCTTTACTTCAGTTTTTCTGAGCCATGAATGGGACCAGAAGAGTGGCAAGATTGCATGTAATCACTACACATGTAGAGTATAAATACAATTTAGTTTGCTTCTGGGCACCTCTCTTTTTTGAATAAAGACTGCTAACTTTCCCTTGATCTGACATCTTAATGTTGGTTTCAGGCCTATTAGGTGGGAGGACATTGACAACTCACCTTACATATTACAGCTTCTGGGAAAAAAAAAGTTGCTCAAAGAATATGTCTTTCTGATATATGTCTACCACCATCACTTCTGCACAAAGATGATAGGGCATATTTCTTTTTTCTTCTGACCTAGCTCCTTTTTTATCATTAGATAGCTTAATATTTTTCTTGTAACCTTCTTTGTCCTTAAAACTAAAAACATATGTAAGCAGTAGCTTTAACTTAGTAGACTAATGTCAGTAAGAAGAGAGAATAGACCTATTAGTAAATTCATAAATGTTTATACTTTTAATGTCAAATATAATCATTAATTTATTTGACTTTTTTTTTTAACTTGCTGCAGTCATTACTTGCTCTTCCAATAGGTTTGGATTTAATGTGTAGAAATTATTTTGTCTGCTTTCCACTTCTTACTGACATTTCACATCAAGTTAATATTGGCTCTTGGTTTTTCTTCATAATTATCTGTTTGTATCAGGACCCTAATTAATGAATTTGCTAATATTTGTTTCCTCATTGTAAAGTGAGGTCAAGCTGTCTTTTGTAGCCAAAAAGTCAACATATTTTCATATAGAATTGTCCAATGATAAGACAGTAATAAGGAACACTTGCAAGACATTTTTCTAAGTGCTAGAAAAATGTTTAAATGAAATGTATTAATAAATGAAGGTTGAGTTGAACAAGAAGGTGGAAAAATGGTATTTGAAGAGAGGAAATCAAATCTTTTCATATAAAACCAATTGATTTTCAAATGATTTTGAAGGAACTAGCCCCTACGTTTGAGAAACTATAGGCCAGGTTATTTATAAAATAAAGATGCAGCATAATTTTCCATGGGTCTTTATAGCTTTTGCATGTCTTGTCAACAAGACAGTAACCACCCTTTGTTCTAGATTATCTTTTCCAGAATATTTATATAGAGAATAGCCTGGGAAGAGGCAGGTAGTGTCTCCCTCCATAAAAAAGGACAGGCATGCTTACTGCCCACTATAAAAGATCTAGGTTACCTAAGCTTGAAGTTCCTCTCCTGCACAATCCTTGTTGTGTGCAACCATTCATCAAGACCCATCTGGATCAGCCCTGTGGGATAAGCAGAATTGATGCAAATATGCTGATGCTCATACTGCTTGTGGTGCCATCAGCAATAATATTCTTTGTGACCCAGGAGTTTCTATCTCTTAAATACTGCCATCCATGAACTCTGGCAAGCTATTTTGTCAGCTTGCAAGTCAAGTAATATCTCATAGTCTTCACAGTTCTTGACAAGCCAGTAATTGAGAAGAAAGCAATTTAGCACAAAGTGTTCTGCATTAGCCAGAGGCTGTGGTAGGCAGAATAATGTCTCCTCAAAGATGTCTATATCCTACTCCCTGGAACCTGTGGCTACGTTATGCAACATGGCAAAGGAGAATGAAAGCTGCACATAGAATTAAGGTTGTTAATCAGATAAACAGATTATTTTAGATTATTGGAGTGGGCTCAATATAATCACAAAGTTTCTTTGAATGTGAAATAGAGATACAGAAGAGTCAGTGTCAAACTGGCTTTGAAGACGGAGGAAGGGTCCAACAGCCAAAGATTATAGATGGTCCCTAGAAGCTGGAAAAAGCCAAAACCCAGATTCTCCCCTAGAGTCTACCCAAGGAATTTAACCCTGCAAACACCTTGATTTTAGCCCAGTGAGACCCATTTTGGACTGTAAGATAATAAACTGTATTGTTTTAGCCACTAAATTTGTGGTAACTTGTTAGAAATTTCTAGTTAACCACAGAAAACAAATACAGAGGAGACAGTTAAACATTTCAGACAAAAAAGGTTTTGTTTCTTTTCTCATTGCCTATTTGGTTTATGCTTATCCTTTGGATTTCAGCTTAAATATTCTGCCTTTTCTGAGAGTTCCTGTCTTCTTTTTCTGAAGTAGTCCCCTCCTGTTATTCTCTATCATTGTACTGTATTTCCTTTTTGTAGCACTTTCCACAAATTGCAATTAAAATACAGTTTTATTGTAATTTTTATGCACCTAAAACACACACACACACACACACACACACACACACACACATATATATATATATGTTTCAAGTTATGATTGACAGTTATCTCTTTCTGTTTTGGGTGAAAGTCTATCCCCAATTCTAAGACTATGTTCTTCTTACATTTTTAATTTAAAATGTTCTTTAAATGAAATGGTGGTGTTAGAAGATAGTAGTTTCTATTTAAAAAATTGTCTTTCTTTGCTAACAAAATATGACAAGCTATGTTGACTCTTATTTTAAAAAATGGTACTGATTAATGAAATAAAAATTGTGGGAAGCACAGCTCTAGACTCTGTCAGATGCCATGTACTGTCACAGTACATTGTTCTTCCTTTACTGGAGCATGTTTACACATCTTATTTCCATTGCATTCTCATTTCTGAACTATAGTCTTCTGGAAAGGAGAGAACATGTCTGCTTTGGATTATATCCCCAGAGTTTAACCCAATGCCTGGCACAGAAGAGGCACACAATAAAAAAGTTTTGAATGACATTGAATGAAGAAATAAAAACTTCTAAAAGATTACTATGTATATGATGATACTATAAGGATTAAAATCATATTCATCATGCAAACACCCCAAGAACTTGTAAAATAAGCCTGCAGAAGTTATGTATTTGAGACAGAAATTGGGCCATCGCTATTGTATATAGCATGCTTCTAAAAGTATATTTATATGCCAAAATAGATAACCTCAAAAGGTATTGATACAGTCACTCCTTACACAATTCCCCTGTAACAAAATTCTTTTACAGCTCAGTAGTAATAAAAAGACTATTTCTTCTTATGGGTCAGTATTCCTGTAAATGAGTAAATGGGAGCTAGCTAAATAAATTCCATTTCTCTTTTTATCTTAGCTCCCAGTAAGCACAGAATACCACTTTGTGCTTATTTGGAGTGCTATGGAGCACAGAGCAGTCTTTCTGATTTACTTCATTTTCCTCTTTCCTGTGCTGCTCTCTCTGTTCCTTCTCTATTCAATTCCTTTTTCTTTTTTTTTTTTGCATCCCTTTAACTCTTATTTCAGTTATGTTTTCTTTGTATAGTAACACACCACAAGTACCTTCTGAAAAATAATTAAAAGTGCAATCTGGCTTAATCACTGATGAACCAAAGCACAAATATTTGTATTTTCATAATTGCTGGGCTTGTTCTGCATTCTTTTCTGTATATTTTGTCCAATTTTATCACCATAAGAACAACATCCAAGGGTCACCGTCCCACTATATAGTTTGCCTGGTAGCTATTTAAATAAATGAATTACAAATATTTAAAGCCAAATTCCCTGTTGGACATGATACTGTTTATGTAATGCTTTAAAGAGGAAAGTAATTTTGAGCCAAATGTGAATTTCAAGCATATAGTTGTGAAGATTCAGTAAATGACCATAAAGGATAGATATATATTTCCCAGCAGGTGTTTGCCAAAATGTACAAGGAGAGATTTCCCTAGGAAATAATACTAGAAAATTTAGAATCAGGGCAGGTCTAGTCAAAAGATATTTTAAAGGTTTTTGGATTAATCTGTATCTTTATCTTCAGGTATTCATGAAGAATACAAATGCAGAGCATGTAAGCTATTCTAATAGATCATGGATTGATGCAAATAAGGTGTTATGGGAGTTGTTTTTTTTTTTTTTTTTTGGCTTTTACTGTCAAATCCTGGTTTCCATGAAGTGAAGGTTGGGAGGGGTAATGGAGACGGAAGGACCTTCTTCTGAAAGATTGTGATGGGCAGGCCGTAGGGCTAAGCCCTGGCCATCTCCAGTCAGCCTCGGAGCAGCTCCGTTTTATCTTCCTAAATTTATTGAGCTTATATTCAGCACCTGGTTGTAAGCACATGTTCACGTTAATGTGTGTCCTTTTTTTGGCTACTCAGTGATTTGGCTATGTTGATTATAAAATATTTTGAATATCAGCCATGGTTCTATGTAAAATTTTATTTGTAAAGGGCTCTACTGCTAAATAGGCATTGTTATATAGTGGTCATAGTTACTACATATTTGGAAACAGATATGCTTGGTTCAAGCTCTAGCTTTGCTACTTACTAGTAGGGTGATCTTTATCAAGTTATCTGGCTTCTTAGAGCCTTAGTTTCCTCATTTGCAAAATGAGGCTAATGGTCGACCTACTTCTTTGGGTTATTGTAGGAATTGAAGGAGTATGGTAAATAAAGTGCTGGCATAAACTAAACACTTAATGAATGCTAACTTAAGTACACAAACAAAGAAGCACAAAACAAAAAAGCAAACCAGAGTTAAAACTATAACTCCAAACATTTGAATAAAAGGGACTTCCAGACAATAATAAAAAAACTATTAATTTTTTGTTGGCTATGAAAGTCAAGTTTCTTTTCTTCTTTACCTCTTAGAGGTGAAGAATAAATGAAAACAATGTAAATATCTACCTATGTATATGTCAGCTATCTATAAATTTCCATTTTTTTACAGTATTACCAGAGATATTCTGTACTCAAAGTTCAGCATAGGTTTTCTGATGTTGTGGAAGAAATATATCCCTTCTATCAATCATTGCCACCAGTCAGAGATAATTCCAAGTTGGGTATCATATTTGACTAAGCCATTATTGACAGTCTTTATATTTCTTGCTATAGAGTAAATACATAGTAGGAAGACTCAAATTATTTTCCTATTTGAAATCCATGGTTTATATCAGAGACAAATTAAAATGTAGCACTTTAAACAAAATTTAACAAGAAAACATTCACCCGGAATTAATAGAACTGTGCTACCACATGCTACTCATATAATGTATTATTGGAGAATATTTTAGGTGAAACCTACATTATCTAGCTATTAACTTCTATCATATTTACTTTTCCTCTAAGCATTTTTAAGAGAAATGACATTAGACTTGGTGCATTAGAAACTATATCAAAATCTAAAAGTTTATAAGCTCTAGTAATAAACAATTCCTAAATTGCCAAAGGAACCCTTATAGATTTTACAATCTCCCTATATAAAAGAAATAATGCTTTTATATAAGAACCTTACTACTAATAAAGAGCTTTCTGATTTTTATAGACTAAAAATATTTTTTAATAAATATTATTGCTAAACTACTATCCCATTTCTTGAAAATACGAACATGTGCTTTAGTTTAGAGACAGTTACCTTAAGAAATGGGCATTTGGGTCAGCGCTGGCACTATCATAGGATGGTAATCGGGTTCTAATGCAAGTTTGTAACTAAACAGAAATTAAAAGGGGAAGTCATTTTCTACTACTCTACAAAGAATTACCAGAATTACATAGGGGAAAACTTACTTGCCCAAAAGGGACTTTTTGAACTTGTTTTGAACTTAAAATCACTTAGAAACCCATTAGAAAACTGGGGTGAAATAATAGACATAGAAATGGAAATACCCAGAAAAGCAAGTGCAAATGACTCTGAAATGTAGAAAAAGCTGCTCAATTCATAATAAGAGAAATGCAGATTTGTCTTACACTCTGATTGTCTAAACCTATTATTTTGGGAGAGGATAAAAAATATTAGTAATACACTAACCAGTGTAGAATAAAGGAAAGAATAAAGTGGATAAGCTGGTGAGAATAAAGGAAAATAGACCTTCTAATACACAGCTGATAGGGGTGTAATTTAGCAATATTTATTGAATTTCAATATGCAACCTCTTTCATTTGAATTTAGGTAATGTATCCAGCAGATATATCTGTATTCATGCAAAATGACATGTGTACAAGGTGACTTATCACAACACTATTTCTAGGAGCAAAACACCAGAAACAACTCAAATGTTTATTAAAGGGAATATGTATCCTTAGCATGATGGAATATTATACAATCATAAAAAGGAAGAAATTTATTATATATTGATAAAGTATAACCACTAACACTTATTTTTAAGCAAAAAGAAATCAAGTTTTAGAAAGAATATCATATACAGTAGTCCCTTCTTACCCATGGTTTTGCAGTTTCAGTTACCCATGGTCAACTGCAGTCCAAAAATATTAAGTGGAAAATTCTAGAAATAAACATTTATAAATTTTAAATTGCACACTATTGTGTGTAATGAAATCTCATACCGTTTTGCCTTATCATTCCTGGGATGTGAATCATCCTTTTGTCTCACATATCCATGCTCTAGATGCCACCCACACATAGTCACTTAGTAGCCTTCTTGCTTATCAGATTGACTGTCCAGGCATACAGAGCTTCTGTTTAAGTAACCCTTATTTTACTTACTTAATGGCCTCAAAGTGCAAGAGTAGTGATGCTTGCAATTCAGGTATGCCAAAGAGAAGCCATAAAGTACTTTCTTTAAGTCAAAAGGTGAAAGTTCTCAACTTAAGAAAGAAAAAAGTCATATACTGAGGTTGCTGAGATCTATGGTAAGAACAAATCTATCCATAAAATTGTGAAGAAGGAAAAGGAAATTTGTATTCGTTTTGCTGTAGCACCTCAAACTGCAAAAGTTATGGCCATAGTTCATGATAAGTGCTTCATTAAAAGGAAAAAGGCATTACATTTGTGGGTGGAAGGCATGAACAGAAAATGTGTTCTGACTGATGGCAACATGTTGCGTCAGCAAGCATTGACAAAGACTTTAGCAAGGGATTTCCTGAAATGAATGACACCAAGCCATTTACTGCACGTAAGGGATGGCTACACAGATTCAGGAATATGTTTGAACTGAAAAATTATAAAGATTACTGGAGAGGCTACCTCTGCCAATGAAGAAGCTGTTGCTCTACTTCCAGCAGAGTTGAAAAAGTTTATTAAAGACAAAGGATACCATTCAACAAAGCCAGTCTTCAATTGTGTGAAACCTGGATCTTCTGGAAGAAAATATCCAGTAGAACTTGCATTTGTCAAAGTGCAAAGGAAGCACAAGGGCATAAAACATGGAAGGACAAATTAATTTTGGTACTATGTAGCAATGCTGCAGGGCATATTGTAAAGCCAGGCACAGTGAACAGAGAGAAGAAGCCACATACTATTAAAAAATGAAAACAAAAATTATCTGCCACTGTTCTGGCAACATAATCAGAAAGTGTGGGTGACAGCCATCTTGTTTATGGAATAATTCCACCAATCCTTCATCCCAGAAGTGAAAAAAAAAAAACTTGGAAAAAGAAGAGTTGGAGTTTAAAGCCCTATTAATAATAGACAATGTACCCAGCCATCCTGAATCTGTTTGCCACTAAAATGAAAATGTTGAGGCTGTATTTTTAACTCCATATACCACCTCATTCTTTCAGCCCCTTCACCAGGGCATCATCCAGTTCATCAAGGCCACGTGCACGCATTTGGTATTTTATCTCACTTAATCAGCAATTGATGTAGACCCTAATCTGGACAATGTCATGCTGTAAATCATTCACTATTACTGGTGCAATAACATTTACCAAAGCTACAATGGATAAGTTAAAACCAGAAATCATAAATGCCTTCTGGAAGAACTTACAGAGTAAAGCTGTGAATGATTTTAAAGGCCTCTTGGGGATAAATGGAAGTCAGGAAAATCATTTATGCAGCAAGACAAGGTGATAGGGAGAGATTTGCCAACATGCATGATGAAGAAGTGGAAGATCATATTGAAGGCCATTGATAAGTGTTAAAAAATGAAGAATTAGAAGAGCTTATTGAGTCACTTACAGACAGAAGACTGTGAAAAAGAAGAAACTGAAGTAGAATCAGCAATGTGCACTTACCAAAATATGCCATGGTGCTTCTAATGGCACAGATAGTAAAGGAAAAAATTATGGAATACTCTTTTCTGATAGAATGCAGCATTAAAGCCGCCCATATGATCACTAAAGGATTACAACCTCTGCAGCAACACTCTGATGAGTTAAAAAGAAAGAGATAATAATGTCAGATCACAATGTTCTTTCAAAAGGATTTGGCAAAAATCAACCAACCAACCAACCAACCAAACAAACAAAAAACCAAAAACCTTCAACTATCAAGGATCCCCAATCATCAACACTGTCTGCTTCTCATATCCAACCATTGACTTTGTCATGGCTTGATGACTCAGGATCACCTGAAGTAGATAATCCTCCTTCTGACATAACATCAGAAGGTCAATAGTAGCATAACGATACTTCACAATGCCTAGGTCATTCACCTCATCACACAAGCATTCTTACATCATCACAAGAAGGATGAGTACAGTACCATAGGATATTTTGAGAGAAAGAGACAGAAAGAGAGAGAGAGAGTGAGAGAGAGAGAGAGAAAGAGAGATGGAGAGGGAGAGACAGAGACAGACCATATTCACATAAGTTTTATTACAGCATATTGTTCTAATTGTTAGCTATTGTTGTTAATCTCTTGTGTCTAACTTATAAATTACAGTTTATCCTAGGTATGTATGTATAAGAAAAAACATAGTATATATAGAATTTGGTACTATCCACAGTTTCAGGAATCCCCTGGGGGTCTTGGTATGTATCTCCTGAGGATAAAGGTAGACTAC